>NC_000009.12:102614491-102766006 GCF_000001405.40 Homo sapiens | reverse complement strand
TGACATGTAAAACTCTTCTTACCATGTGAGTGAAACTTATAGGTTCAGGGATCAGGACAAGAATGTTCTTGGGAAGAGACATTTTTCTACCTACCACACAATCTAAATTTATTTGAAAACACATTACTTTTGTTGTTGTTGCTATGGGCCCTTAATAAAGATGCTTCTCATTTTTAGAGCATACGGCAGGACTTATTTAACTCCTAAATACAACACAATATAAAAATAACGACTGTTATTATCCTTGCTAAATAGAGACTCTAAAGCAAGAATTATGTTTTTCCAGAGTTATGATAGAACTGACACCATGAATTTGCTCCAATATGTCTCTATTTCTTGTAGTAAGATGGGATGAGCAGAAAAGAACCAAGATATCTAACTTGTTTGCTAGAATTAAAAAGTTCCTTGCTTTGTATAAAGACTAGTCTTAAAGCAGGTCCTTGGGGGGCATCTTGCATTTCAGAGAAAATGAAGTGTCTGAATGGTAATGTAGTCTGTTGCAGAATGCCTGCTGAGCTAGCTTTAATATTTTGATGCTGGGATAAGTTAATTCCTTCAGAGTCATCCAAATGTTTTAACTAAGAGAACACTGAAAATGAAAGAGGTAGTAGCCTACGTTTAAAAATTAATGGGTGAGATCAACTTCCAGTTTCTGGCCCACCACCTAAGAACCTTGGAAATAAACACTTCATTCCAACAAGTGAAACGCTGAACAAGTTAAAAAATAAACTCAGGTCCATTAGAAAAGTGAGGTCACAGGACAAACCAAAGCCCCCACATTTGAAGAGATAGACAGGTGAATACAAAGAATCACAACTTACCGAAGCATAAGCTTGTAAGGAAAAAAGCTCAGAAGAAACTAGTACTGGAATAGGAGAGCCTAAACTGTAAATGGCAAATTGCTGGAAGCTAACAATGAACAAGTCTGAGAGTTAAAATCTTCAGGAAGGCCCAGTCATGGAGACTGGGAATGGGGACATTCTTTTTATTTTATTTTATTTTATTTTATTTTTGAGTTTTAGCTCCAGGAGCTCTACTAGATTGTCACAGCGAAGATCAGAGAGAAACATCCCCTTGTACTTCCTACAGGAAAGGACAAAAGTAACCATGTTGAAATAATCCACAGCATTCTGCTCTTCTTAACAAGGTTTCCCTCAAGAGAAACTATTTTACCAGATAATAGCCTTTTGGGGTTTTATCAGATTCAAACAGATCCAAAGGGAAAGAAAAATTTCAACTCCAGCTCACTCTAGTTATCCTATCCTTCTAAGTGGTGAAAAAAAATCTGAGAAGCACTTGTGAAGTTCACAGCTCAGGAGACCAAACCTACTAAAAGACCAAGACTTAATCATATGACTATAAAATGTTTTCCCTTCCCTAGGACATTATCACTATACCAATAAAAGCCTATATACGAGAGTCTCTTTTACTTAATACATCAGGTCCAGGTTTCAACAAAAATTGTAAGGCATACTAAAAGGCCAAAACATTTTTGATGAGATGCAGCAAGCATCAGAACCAAACTCAAAGACGTAAGTGATATTGGAATTATGAGACCAGATTTTTTTTTAAACTACACCTAATATGCTAAGCATTCTCACGGAAAAAGTAAATAGCATGGAAGAACAAATGGATAATATAAGCAGAGAGATGAAAATTCTAAGAAAGAATTTAAAAAATGTTGAAGATCAAAAGCACTGTAAATAAAATAAAAATGCCTTTGATGGCCTCATTAGTAGACTTGACACAACTGAAGAAAGAACCTCAGAGGATTAAAATATGTCAGTGGAAATTTCCAAAACTATAAAACAAAGAAAAGACTGAAAGATATACAAGAACAGTGGAACAACTACAAAAGGTATAGCATATACATAATGGGAATACCAGAAAAAGAGAGAGAATAAAAAAAGACGAAAAGATAAAATACGTTGCAAACAATAATAACTGAGAAATTATCCAAATAAATGATAGCCATCAAACTACAAATTCAGGAAGTCCAGAGAACAGCAAGCAGGGTAAATGCCAAAAACAAACAAACAAGCAAACAAACAGCCGAACATGCCTGTAATCCCAGCACTTTGGGAAGCTGAGGCCAACGGATCACCTGAGGTTGGGAGTTCAAGACCAGTCTGGCCAACATGGCAAACCCCATCTCTACTAAAAATATAAGAAGTAGCTAGGTGTTGTGGCACACTCCTGTAATCCCAGCTACTCCAGAAGCCGAGGCATGAGAATCGCTTGAACCCAGGAGGCGGAGGTTGCACTGAGCCAAGATCATGCCACTGCACTCCAGCCTGGGTGAGCGAGTAAGACTCTGTTTCAAAAACAAACAAAAAACAAAATACCCTACACCTAGGCATATTTTAACTACATAAAAGTAGAGATAAAGAGAAATAACTTTTATTGAAAGAAGCCAGAAAGGAAAAAAAAGCCTTACCTATAGAGGAGCAAAATAAGAATTACTTTCAACTTCTCCTCATAAATCACATAGGCAAGAAAAAATTAGAATGAAATATTTAAAGGATTTGGAGGTGGAAAACACCAACCTAGAATTACATACTATGCAAAATTAACCTTCACAAATGAAGAAGAAATAAAGATTTTCTCAGATAAATAAAAATTGATTTTTTTTGCTAGTACATCTACCTTGCAAGAAATGTTAAACGAAGTTCTTCAGAGAGAAAGACAGATAGATCATAAATTTGAATCTACATAAAAAAAGAGCATTGGAGAAGAGATAAATAATGGTTAAATAAAAACACATTTTTCTTATTCTTAATCTAACAAAATAAAAATGATTATAATGGCAACAATGTATTTGATTATACATGCTTATGCATGTAAATAGATACACATATGTTTATGTATACTTATGAATACAGGAATTGAATGATAGCAATGATTGCAGGAACAAGAGGGAGGAAATTAGAAATACATTATTATTAGTTGGTACTTGTACTACCTATGAAAGGAGAGAAAATAGAATACTGCAAATGCTTTATTAAAAACATAAAAGGCAGAAAAAGAGTAGATAACAAAAATAGTGACAAATAACAAAGACATCAAATAGGAAACAATTACAATATGGTCAATATAAATTCAACTATATCAATAGTCACTTTTTATTTAAAAGGTCAAAATATTCTACTTAAAAAACTAAGTCAAAGTGGGATACAAAAACAAGACAAACTATACGCTGTGTACAATAAATTGACTTTAAATATAAAGACATACAGAGATTAAGAGCAAAGGATGGAGAAAGCCATAGCATACTAAGACTAATCAAAAGAAAATGAGAGTAGCAACATTAATTTTAGAGTACCGATGTCAGAGCAGGGAACATTATCACAGCTAAAGAATGGTATTACATGATGATAAAGGGGCCAATTTTCTAAGAAGACATAATGACAGTTAGTACTTAAGTCCCTAACACCAGAGCTTCAAAATATATGAGGAAAAACATATAGAACTACAAAGAGAACACACTACTATAATTGGAGACTTCAACATTGCTGAATCATCAAATGGATAGAGACAGCAGATAGAAAATCAGTAAAGATATAGCATAACTCAACAACATCATCATCAACTGGATATAATTACCTATAGACTAGTCAATTCGGTAATATTAGAATATGTATTTTACCAAACTCACATGAATATTCACCAAAATATACCACAGGGTTATAAAACAAATCTTAACAAATTTAAAAGAATAGAAATTATACAAAGTAGGTTCTCAAACCACAATGGAATTATACTAGAAGTTAATAGCAGAAAGATCACTGCAAAAATCCCCAAATACTTGGTGATTAAAAATAACACTTATAAATAATACATGGATTACAGGAATCTTTAAGTAAATTTAAAAATATATTTCAAATTAAGTTAAAATACAACATCAAAACGTGTGGGAAAGCAGTGCTTAGCAGAAACTTCATAGTATTGAATGCATATGTTAGAAAAGAAGAAAATCCTAAATTCACTAATCGAAGCTGCCAACTTTAGGCAGCTAGAACAAGAGCAAATTAAACAATATTTTCTTATGCATCAGCAATAATCAAGTAGAATTTAAAATATAGAACATGTTACCATTTATATTAACACTCCCTCAAAATGAGATACTTAAGTAAAAATCTAAGAAAATATGGACAAAATCTACCAAAAGACAACTACAAAACTGTTGAATAAAAAGAAGTAAATTGAGAGATAATCCATCATCATGGATAGAAAAATCCCATATGGTCAAGACGTCATTTCTTCCCAATTTGATACATAAATTCTATACAATCCCAGTGAAAATCACAGCAAGTTATCTTGTGCATATTGAAAAATGTATTCTAAAGTTCAAGTCTCAGAATAGACAACACTGTATTAAAGGAGAACAAAATCAGAAAACTGACACTATCTGACTTCAAGACTTACTAAACTGCTAGGGTAACCAAGTCAGTGAAGTATTTGGCAATAGAACAGGCTACTAGATCAAAGGATCAGAATGGAGAGTCCAAAAAATAGATAATCACAAATGTAGTGAACTGATTTTTGACAAAGGGATAAAGGCAATACAAGGGGAAAACAAAATGTTTTCAGCAAATGGTGCTAGGACAAAAGGATATTCTTATGCCAAAATAACAAGAAACAAACAAAATGAATTAAGATGCAGATCTTACAACCTTCACTACAAGTCACTCAAAATGAATCATTGGATTAAAAGTAAAATTCAAAACTATGAAACTTTTAGGAGATGACATAAGAGAAACATCTAAATAAACTTGGGTATGGCTATGAGTTTTTAGATATAATGCCAAAGGCATGATCCACAAAAGAAATATTTGATAAGCTGGATCTCATTAAAACTAAAAACTTCTGCTCTGTGAAAGACACACTCGAGATAAGATAAAGACAAGTCATAGACCAGCAGAAAATATTTGTAAAATGTGAATCTGATAAAGGACTACTATCTATTAATAAATATACAAAGAACTCTTATAATGCAACAGTAAGAAAACAAATCACCTAATTACAAAATGGGCCAAGGACTGTAACAGGCCAGGATTCAAAATACTAAGAACACCAAATGCTGGGGAACGTATGGAGCCACAGGGATTCTTATTCATTTCTGGTAAGAATACACCTTCTTTGGAAGACAATGTGACAGTTTCTTTCAAAAGTAGAAATAGTCTTACCCTAATGTGTCTGGAGCTGGTTCATTCCAGTGGGTTCTTGGTCTCGATGACTTTAAGAATGAAGCCAGGGAACTTCGTGGTGAGTGTTAACAGCTCTTAAAGGTGGCACGGACCCAAAGAGTGAGCAGCAGCAAACTTATTGTGAAGAGTGAAAGAATAAACTCCCACTGTGTTGAAGGGGACCCGAGCAGGTTGCCACTGCTGGCTGGGATGGCCAGCTTTTATTCCCTTATTTGTCCCTGCCCACCTCCTGCTGATTGGTCCATTTTACAGAGCACTGATTGGTCCATTTTACAGAGCACTGATTGGTGCGTTTAAAATTCTTTAGCTTGACACAGAGCACTGATTGGTGCATTTTTACAGAATGCTGATTGGTGCATTTACCATCCTTTAGCTAGACACAGAGTGCTGATTGGTGCATTTACAATACTTTAGCTAGACACAGAGTGCAGATTGGTGCATTTTTACAGAGTGCTGATTGGTGCATTTACAATCCTTTAACTAGACACAGAGTGCTGATTGGTGCGTTTTTACAGAGTGCTGATTGGTGTGTTTACAATCCTTTAGCTAGACAGAAAAGTTGTCCAAGTCCCCACTCGACCCAGGAAATCCAGCTGGCTTCACTTCTGAATAAGATCCAGCAATCAACTTTTAGATGTTTACCTAAATGCACGAAAAACTTATCCACACAAAAACATGTACAAAAATGTTTATATCACCTTTATTCATAATTTCCAAAAGTTGGAAGCAACCAAGATGTCCTTCAGAAAGTTAATAAAGAGGTAACCTGTAGAACCTTCAAACAATAGAATATTATTTGGCACCAGAAGAAAATGAGCTCTCTAGCCATAAAATGATATGGAGGATTCTTTTTTTTTATACTGAGTTTCACTCTTGTTGCCCAGGCTGGAGTGCAGTGGAGCCATCTCAGCTCCCTGCAACCTCCGCCTCTCAGGTTCAAGTGATTCTTCTGCCTCAGCCTCCTGAGTAGCTGGGATAACAGGCGTGCACCACCACGCCAGTGTAATTTTTGTATTTTTTTCAGTAGAGACGTGGTTCACCATGTTGGCCAGGCTGGTCTCGAACTCCTGAGCTCAGATGATCCGCCCACCTCAGCCTCCCAAAGTGCTGGGATTACAGGCGTGTGCCACCATGCCTGGCCCAATGTGGAGGAATCTTAAATGCCTATTACTAAGTAAAAGAAGCCAATCTGAAAAGGTTACATGCTGTACAATTACAACTATATGGCATTATGACAAAAGGCAAAACCATGGAGACTATAGAAGGGTCAGTCGTTGTGAGGAGTTAGAGGAAGGAAGGATTAAATAGGCAGTGTACAGAGGATGGTTAGGACAGTAAAATTATTTTGTATGACAAAGAATGATGGATGCACATCATTATACATTTGTCAAAATCCACAGAATGTTCAATACCAACAATAAACTCTAATGCAGTTCATGGACTGTGAGTGATAATTATGTCAATGTAGGTCCATCAGTTGTAAAAAATGTAACATTCTGTTGCAGGATGTTCATAGTGGGGGAGTCTGTTCAAATAAGGAGGAAATGGTACATAGGAAATCTCTGTACCTTCCTCTAAACTTTGCTATGAACCAAAACTGCTCTGAAAAATAAAGTTGATGAAAAATAATCATAGAAAACCCTTAAAACAAGTTCTGTCAATCTCCCATAACATCTAACATCTAGTCCAGAGTGGAAAATTCCTACCATACCATGTGACTGATCATTCATAGACTCCTACATTAAAAACAAGGCCTCATCCTTCATTGCAACAACTATATTATTTTAATGAGAAAAAAATCATTAATCATTCATATTAAAATATTTCTCTGGAATAAATGTAAAATGTGTATATCTATTATACATAACAAATAGAACACACATTATCAAGTAATAGTGTTCTTCTGTTACTTTTATCCTATTTTTAAAGGATGAAAGAAACCTTAATATTCAACAGGTACTTCCTGATTTTTCAACCCAAGTTTTTTATGTTTATGTATTTATTTTTTTGAGACAGAGTCTCACTCTGTCACCCAGGCTGGAGTGCAGTGGCGCGATCTTGGCTCACTGCAAGTTCCGCCTCCCGGTCAACCCAAGTTTTAATAAATACAAATATAATCTTAAGACATTCACCACAGACACTCAGCAAGCACTCACAATGAGGGTCTGAGGAATATCTGGCCCATCTCTAGTCATACTGGGACAAACAGATCAAGGAGTACAGGTAGCCTGTAATTTGGGGGCATTATAAAAGACTGTCTGTAGCTGGTAGACTATCAAATATTATACTTAAAGAAAAAATCACTTGGCTTTGGAAGGCAACAATTTAGTTCTAAACTGAATAATGGGGTTTTGAAGATTATGGTAGCTACCAAAATGGTAACCAAGGAAACAAACTAAAATATGTTGAAAAATGTCTACAATAGAGGTAAGATCATTAGACATTTTTTCTGTCACTATAGATTGGTTTTCCTGTTCTAGGTTTCTGTATAAATGTGGTAACAGTGTGTACCTTTTTGTGTCAGGATTATTTTACTTAGGATATTATTTTTGAGCATCATGAATGGCATTGCATGAATCATAGCTTGTTCCTATTTATTGCCGAATAATATTACATTATCTGAAAATCCCAGAGACACCATTTCCCTGTTGGTGAAATTTTGGGCTGTCTTCAAATGCTGGCTATTACTGCAAGGCTATTATAAACATTTGTCTGTCATCTTTTATTTCTTTATTTTGAAGATTGTTGTTACTCCTTGCAATCTATTTTATTAAATTTTATATTTTGAAAATATAAATATTTACATGGTACAAAATTCAAAGATATAAGAAAGGAAAAGTTACAGAAGTACCAGGTTAATCTCATAAACCCTCATTCTATTCCTTGACACCTCTTATAGGCAAGAATTTTCATCTTGTATTATTTTGTGTTTCCTTTGAAAAATAAGTAAACATATGTGTGTATATTGTTCTTCATTTTAAGAAAGAAAAAGCATATCATATAGACAATTTTGCACCTTGCTTTTAAAATTTCTCTTAATATCATTTTATAGAGAGATCTTGCTCAAACTCTTTCTGACTGTTTAGTACTTGAACGTGTGGATGCACCAAAATTTATCAAAGCAATTTTACTTGGATGGCATTTGTCTTTTTCCAATATTTTACTACTGAATACTGATAGTAATATTAAAATAAATAATATTATGCATAACTTATTTGGATTTTTAGAGGCATGACTTCACATGAATTTCTATAAGTGGCTATGCTGAGTCAAAGAATAAAAGCAAACATAGATTATTACATATTTTTAATTCTTCGACAACACATTGTGATATCAAACTCTTGAGATGCTAAACATAGAGAAAACTGGGGTATAATGCATGATTGTATTATATTTTCTGTCCATTTTTAGTTTATTTAGTATAAAACATAAATGGAGATGATTTTTGGCTTTTCTTAGGCTATAACAAGCTTGAACAAGTGCTGATTTCAATATGACAACCAGAAAAAGCAAGATCCTCTATAAAATAATAACTTTTTTGAACTCATCATAGAATTGAGGTCAAAGGACAGCCAAACATCCATCACTAAAAAGAGCCATTGTTTCCAGAGACAGATGAGACACAAGTTCTGACTTACCTGACAGACAGTGGGTGGAGGAAGCTTCACCCACTCACAGACTTTTTCTTTGAAACTACACTGGATTCTGTCAGGAGAGTTTAGGTGTGAGGTAGGAGACCAGAAGACTTTTTTCTCAATGGCACAGTTCTGGAGGAAGGACAAAAGTGTCATGTCTCCAGGGGAAGGACAGTAAACTTTATTATTACTAAGACATGAGTGAATACCCAGTTCTAACCCTGGAAGAAAGACAGGATCATCCTTGGCCCAAATCACTGAGCTTCTCTTACCCATAAGCAATGAGAGTTATCACAGAAAATGAACCATCCCTGAGACCCTAGGAACAAATGCCTGCTCAAGGATGAGGTTGAACCTGTCCAAGAAATAATATCACTCACCTGTTCCCCACTACTAGACTAACAAGCTAGAAGTAAAATGTAACAGTGAATACCCAGCTCTAACCCTAGAGGAAAGGTAGGATCATCCTTGGCCCAAATCATTGAGCTTCTCTTACCTGTAGTCAATGAGAGTTATCACAGAAAATGAACCATCCCTGAGACTGTAAGACCAAATGGCTGCTTAAGGATGAGGTTGAACCTGCCCAAAAAGTAATGTCACTCACCTGTTCCCCACTTCTAGACTAGCAAGCTAGAAGTAAAATGCAACAACAATTCACTACTGAGTCACAGGCATGGTGAAGGACCTTCTGTGAAATGCAATTCATACAGGAAAAGCCAAAATCTAAAGGTGCCACAGGGACAATGAGGAAAACCATCCAGTAAAACAATACCTGCCTAAGCAGGAGGTAAAGCCAGAGAAATTTGAAGACTGTGTTGTACTAAGGGTAGCAATAGCAACAAAACATCCTAAACCCAGCTCAGTTCCTGACTAAACTGACTCAAATCCCACAGTAGCAGCTTAGTAAAAGAAGAGGCACAAAAATGTACTTGAGTTTTTACAGGTCTATGTACCATATATGTCATTTAATCAAAATGACAAGACACACAAAGTAAAAGTCTTAAGAGACAAAGCAGACCCCAGGTTCAGAGATGAATTCCAAATTACAGCTATCAGGCAGATAATTTAGAATAACTAGGGAAAAGTTTGACAGCATACATGGGCAGATGTGAAATAGAAACTACTCAAATGGAGACGTAAATAGAAAAAGGAGTAGGGGGAAACAGAGCGTTAAAGAGGTGAGGGATACTATCATGTATCTAGTAAGAATCACTGAAGAAAAGATGGAGATAAGACAAAAGAAAAATTTGAAGATATAAGGGCCTTGAAATAAGTTCTGTTGTTTGATAGCGTGGTATAACAACTATAATTAACAAGAATTTATTGTATTTCAAAATAGCTGGGAGAGAATATTTGAAATTTTCCTAACACAAAGAAATGATAAATATTTAAAGTGATGGATATCCCAATTACCTTCATTTGGTCATTACACAT
Organism: Homo sapiens; assembly: GCF_000001405.40. NCBI lineage: Eukaryota > Metazoa > Chordata > Mammalia > Primates > Hominidae > Homo > Homo sapiens. The sequence continues at coordinate 102,755,730 of NC_000009.12, read as the reverse complement.
TGTATGCATGTATCTAAATATCACACTGTACTCCATAAATATGTCTAACTTTTATATATCAATAAAAAAGACATGAGCCTAGAGTTTTCCAAAAATAATCACAGATATCAAGCTATAGACCCAACAAGAGAAATTCAAGAATAAATAAAATTTAAAAACCTAAACATATGAGATTCAAACACCTGAAACCAAGCTAAAAGGAAATATTGAAAGTGTTTGGAAGAAAAATATACTTACATACAGAAAATCAAAGTAGAATTCTCATTAGAAATTACACAAGCCCAAAGACAATTCAGTGACCACTTAAAGAGCTAAAAGAATAGTGACAATATAAAGATACCTCTCAATTCTGTATTCTCTAGTTGGCAAAAATATCTCTCAACTATAGAAGTGAAATACTTTTCTTTGTGTGAGATAAATGCTGAAAGTTTTCATTATCATCAAAATTGTTTATAAATATAATGATTTTAGAAAACATAGATAAAGTAAAATATATAAAATAGCACAGAATATGGGAGGGAGGAATTGAAAGTATAGTACCGTAATATTCAAAAGTTATATATGAGGTAATATATTAACATTTTAAAAGATCCGATAATTCTACTTTGCTTTAATTCATTTATTCAGGCTTTACCATGTATTATTAATTTAGCTGCGTTTTGGCCCCACTCCAGTGTTTCCGTATCTCTAAGCTCCTTTTATCTATTCTTACATGTTTAATTTGCTTAATTGACAAATACAAGTTTATGTATTTTTCATGTACAACATGATGCTTAAAATACGTAATATGTTTAATATATATTTATATAACAATTATATATACACACACATTGTGGAATGGCTAAATCAAACTGATTAATGCATTATTAATGCTTTACCTCACATAGTTATTATTTTTTGTGATGAATCATAGAAGTAGAGAGTAGAATAGTGGTTTTCAGAGGCTGGATGTTGGGGGGAAGGGGGTATTTGGAAAGATGTTGATCTAAAGATAGAAAATTTCAGGTAGCTAGAGGAAAAAAAATTCAAGAGACCTGTTGTACAAAGTAGTTACAATAGTTAATAAAATATGTTGTATTCTAAAAAATTGCTAATAACAGATTTTAAGTGTTGTCATGTCTGAGTTCTTGATATCAATTATCTTCCTTTAATCAACACACTGATGTCTGATGCCATGATCATTGCTGAGAAAATTCTGACATCTTCATTGCCTACATGCACTTTACTGTCTGGCAAATCTTAGATTCTAGGTATATAGTTGTTGAATAAATGAAAAAATAAAAGGTTTTTTAAATATTTATTTATTTATTTATTTACTTATTTATTTATTTATTTATTTATTTATATATTTGAGACAGAGTCTTGCTCTGTCGCCCAGGCTGGAGTACAGTGGCGCAATCTCGGCTCACTGCAAGCTCCACCTCCCAGGTTCACTCCATTCTCCTGCCTCAGTCTCCCGAGTAGCTGGGGCTACAGGTGCCCACCACCTCACCTGGCTGATTTTTTGTATGTTTAGTAGGGATGGGGTTTCACCATGTTAGCCAAGATGGTCTTGATCTCCTGACCTTGTGATCCACCCTCCTCGACCTCCCAAAGTACTGTGATTACAGGCGTGAGCCACCGCAACCGGCCTATCTTATTTTTAATAGAGTAGTTTCCATTGCGTTTCTATAGAGTGGCCCTGTTCCTACCACTTTACCTGGAGATTGTTCTTTCGAACCACACTCTTTAGTTATTGTGTTCTGCGTGTTTTCATAAACCCCACATGCCAGCTCTTAAATCCAACTAAGTAGGTTTGATTCAGGAGAGTCCACTTCAAACCAGGGAGCTGATGTAGCATCAGGTTACATTGTCTACTCCTAATGCAAGCACCTAGGTCAAATACACTGAAAACCGAATAGAAAGAATAGAAGCCAAATCTAGGCACTAACTTCCACAACAATGTTAGCTTTAATATGTTATTTTTACTCTTTCTCTGGTGCCTAACACAAAGAATGTAAATGGAATGAATGCAATTCTAGATGTGTTAATAAACATTAATGGCTAAAAGGTTTAAAATGGAAATTGCCTGTTTTAGTGCAATCTGGGCTTTAATTGTAAGTTTAAATGCTCTTTGTAAATTATTTGAGAGTATAGTTTTTCGTTTACTTTTTGTGATTTAACTGAATTAAGACCAGGCTGCTAAGCTCAACTGTTTATAAAAGGCAGAATACAAAGTTTATTTGTTATTCACCTTATAACACTCCTTGACAATTGTTTTAAACTTAACAGAAGTTATTAACATGCTCATTGGGTGTGTTATTGGCATGAAAATTGCTTTCTGAAGCACAAAATGCATTGGATTATATCACATGTATTGAAAATGTGTGTAGCCACAGCAGGTCAGGGAAGCAAAGGGGCCACGCTTGTAGTTTTAAAAGCTATAAATGCATATCTTTATGGTGGGTAAATTATTTTTGAGAATCAATTTCTTCAAAGAACTACAAAAGTAAGAGATGGATGTTGTAAATATCTTGAGAGTTAACTCAAAACTGGCAAGTGAATACTTGGAAAGATTGGAGAAAGGAGAGTCCTCTGGTTCTGTGTTAATAAGAAACAAAAGATAATAATAACAAGTATTTCCCACAAGCACAGAAAGTCAAGGACAAATGGGGTATTTCCACTTTTCTGGCAAGTAAGTCATGACTGATGAAATTTATTCCCAGTTTCTTTTGTATTAAGATCCATTGCTAACCCATAAAGAGGGATCTGGTTTTCTAATTTTCAGGCAGGAGTGAGATGGTTAGGGTCCAATTTAGCAATAGACAACTATGAGAAGATCTCACAGGGACATAATAGTCAGCGAACTTTTTACAAAACCTGTGCTATTTTAGAGTAGGAAATATTGGTTTGGAGGTTACTGATCTCAGTGATTCTCCTACAGGAAGTACCTGGGTATATAGTACATTTCAGATAGAGTTCTGTCTTAGTCTATTTTGTGTGAGTATAACAGAATATCAGAGAGTGGGTAACTTATAAAAAACAGAAATTTATTATCTTACACTTCTGGAGGCTGGGAAGTCCAAGATCAAGGAGCTGGCATCTAGGGAAGTGCTTTTTGCTGTGTTCCCTCATGACAGAATATGAAAGGGCAAGATGGGTATGAACTTTGTATTCTTATATGGTAGAAGAGCAGAGGAGAGGGAACTCACTTCTGCAAGCCCTTTTTATATCAGCACTAATCCATTTGTGAGGGCAAAACCCTCATTACCTAAACACCTCCCAAAAGGCCAACCACCTAACACTGTCAGAGATTGCATTTCCAACACATGAATTTTGGGAGACGCTTTCAGACCCTAGCAACTCTTGAGTAAAAACTGCGAATAACTATGGGTTTATATTATAAACCAAAAAAAAAAAAAGTCTGAGACAGGTGTTAATCAATTAAGAAGTTTATTTTGCCAAGATTAAGGACATACCTGAAAAAAATAAATGTGGAATCACAAAAAGAGTCTGTGGTCTGTCCCTTTCTCCAAAGATGATTTTGAGGCTTCAATATTTAAAGACGAAAAGTGTGCTGAAGGAGAAAGAAGGAGCAGGTAGGAGATAGTCAATTACGTATTCCTGTCTCACTAAGCAAATCAGCACGTGACACAAAATAAAGTAAACATAGAGTAGCTATTTGTGGAGGTATTTAACCTTTTATCTGTAGTTACCTGCTTAGGAACAAAAGGAAGGTCAGCATCTTTCATGATTCATCTTTCAGCTTAACTGTTTTCTTTTGGCATAGTGAATTGGGGGTCCCACATTTTTATTTTTCTTTGACAATATTAATAGGTGGTTCTTCAGTTCCCACCTATTCCGTAGGAAAATAATGAAGATTAATCTCCCAAAATTACCACTGTAGGCATATTCATTAGCAAATCAAGATCTGAGTTGTTTGTAAAGAGTTTTATTCTAATTACCTTTTTACATGAAGAAGAACTAAGGAAAAAGTGACTTTTATATTGGTTTTTTATTACTGCTGTGAAATATACTACAAATTTGGTAACTTAAAACAGCCCAAACTTACTACCTTACAGTTCTGTATTTGAGAAGTCCAACACAGATTTCACTGTGGTAAAATCAAGGCATCAGTTTGACTATGTTCCTTTTAGGAACCTCTAGAAGAGAATATGTTTCATTTGCTTTTCTAGATTGTAGAGGTCAATAACATTCCTTGGCTTATAGCCTTTATTTCCTGTCTTCAAAGTCAGCAACACTGCATCTCTCTGATCACTTTAACATCACATACCTTTCTGACTCTGACTTTAGGTAGAAAAGGTTTTTTAAGGATTTATGTGATTTCATTGGGCCCACCAAAATAGTCCAGGAATATCTCCTCAACCCAAGGTCTTTAATCGCACCTGCAAAGTCCCCCTTTTCCATGTAAAGTAACATATTCACAGGTTCCAGGGATTTGAACATGGGCATATTTAGGGGTTCATTATTTTGCTTACTACAACTTTCCTAAAATTCAATAGCTAATGAAGGTCAGAGCTGAGATAAGAAGTCTCACAATTTTTGGTCACATGTACCACACTAAAAATTATTTAAATCACCTAAAGGAGAAATAATGGTTTAAAATATTACTATTTTGTATCCTAGATGATTTTAGAGGAGAAAAAAAAATCTTTCCCTTGTTATTGGCAAAAGATGTACAAGGTCTTCTACATTTATCTTAACTGAACATTTTGTAATAGTGTAGCCTTCCAGCTGAGACTGTTAGGGACTAATAAATGAGAACACATTTGGAAGTTCTATGCAGGAAATATGCAATCAAAATGGAGCTCAGCAGACAAGAGCCAGCAACATAACAGAGCTTCATATGGCCAGTGGAAAATGTAGTTCTGAAGACTTTTGCAGAAAAGAGATATTTTTTAAATAATACTTAAGATTTATTAACATAACTCCTCTTTTATGACTGACAAATCATTACAAACTTGCAAAAAAGTGGGGTTTCTTTGTATTTATATTTGCTTGATTTTGTTGAGGGCCTAGGAAATTTCAAGGCAAGGGGGTGCTACTGACACTTGAAATTGTTACTAAAAAGGGAAGAGTAGAAAGCAGAGAAAGAATTAAATAAATAAAAGAAACTGAGCCACAGGTGGCCATCTGATCATAACTTACTTACAGAAATCTTGGAGAAGACATTATTATTTCCACAAGACCTCAAATGTGTGTTTAGTCTAGCTGATAAGAAATACAGTAATCCTAGATAATAGCTGGGTTGCAAGTATTTGTGCCTTTTATGTTTTGGGCTTTCTGTTTGTTTTTGCCAGGGTTAAATTAATATTCAAGAATCTTTTGGTTGGTATTTGAAAGCAAGTTTATTCCCTCCAACCATACAATAGCTACCTAAAGAATTACTATTGGATAACAAAGTATTTCATTAATATTTTAATTTGCATTTCATTTTTATTTCGAGTGATTTCACATTGCCTGGTATTAGCCATTACTTAATTAGGCTATGTGTGTATGCTTTTACTTTCATTAGTCCATTTTCCCCCTTTTGTTATCTTCCGGATGTACAATGGCAAATTAAAGAGATATGTTTTTCAATTTTTTGGAGCTTATATTCTAATGAACAAGACCGAACAAAAGTAAAAAACCATGACATAAGGCTATAAAAGAAAACTAATTGTGTTTTGACACAACGATGTGAGCAGAATTTAGTAATAGAAAAGTTACTTAAGAAAGTACTGAAGGTGTTTCCAAAATGTCTTTCGTGTGTTTAAAGCTACAAATATGACCACTAGATATATATGATTTCATACAAAGAGACATTTTGGAATAAATAGAGGCTGCCTTTCTTTTCTTTCATTACCAGAATACTCTATGGCTGGTTGTGTTTTTCAATTTTTATAAGGTACTTTATACTTAGCACCATAACTAGCTTACAATTATGTAGATAATACATAATATCTTCATTTAATATTAAATAAGAATAAGGCACAAAGAGTTTAATAGGTTTGTTCCAATCAAATTAGAGTCTTTTTGTTTGTTTTGCCTTGTTTTGTTTTGTTTTGTTTTTGAGACGGAGTCTCCCTCTGTTGCCCAGGCTGGAGTGCAGTGGCTCCATCTGGGCTCACTGCAAGCTCTGCCTCCCGGGTTCACACCATTCTCCTGCCTCAGCCTCCCGAGTAGCTGGGACTACAGGCGTCTGCCACCACGCCCGGCTAATTTTTTGTATTTTTGGTAAAGACGAGGTTTGACCATGTTAGCCAGAATGGTCTCGATGTCCTGACCTCGTGATCTGCCCACCTCAGCCTCCCAAAGTGCTGAGATTACAGGCGTGAGCCACCACGCCAGGCCTTTTTGAGACAGAATGTCTTGCTCTGTCACCTAGGCTGGAGTGCAGTGGTGCGATCTTGGCTCACTGCAGCCTCTGCCTCTCAGGTTCAACCAATTATTCTGCCTCAGCCACCCGAATAGCTGGGACTACAGGCACGCGCCACCCCCTCCGCCCCCCGCCCCCCGCCCCCCGCCCCCCGGCTAATTTTTTGTGTATTTTTAGTAGATACGGGGTTTCACCATGTTGGCCAGGATGGTCTTGATCTCCTGACCTCATGATCCTCCGGCCTCAGCCTCCCAAAGTGCTGGGATTACAGGCTTGAGCCACCACACCCAGCCTTAGAGTCATGTTTTAACCATGGCCTTTACCCTCCTCAATACAGTTTACTGAGGTCACCTGTTGATCTCTTTTTACTTGGTGGCTTATAATTACCACTTGGCAGTGATAATCATAAAAATTTTTCAAGTGCCTAAAAATTTAATTAATTTGACATAAAGCATATTGTAATTTTAATTATTTTGTTTTAAAAAATTCTGACTCAGATGCTGTTATTCAACTGCACCTTTAAAGCTGACATAATACACTCTCAAAAATAAGAAAGAACCTATTCATTGAGACTCACATATATTTTTATGTGAGCTTTTAGATTAATTATATCATAGGTAAAATAAAAGAGAGTGAAAGATTTTCTCTGCCAAATCACCACTTTGGTCTTGTTAAGGAAGAGAAGCAGAAGGAGAATTGAAGAGAGAAAAGTAGGAGAATTGGAGAGAGAAGTAAGAAAGACTGAGGAAAGAAGTAGAACAATGAGAATAGAATCTGTAGGATAAACAGCAATGAATAATGCTCCTTGAGAGATGAGGGGATGGGGAAACATGGTTACGAAAAGATAAAAGTGAATTAGAACAGAAAATCATCTTCCTCTAACTCTGAACTACTCAAATACACACTTTAGTAGTATGTGGGAGAGTCAGAGGGTGTAGCTATATTTAATGTCATCTATCCTGACTTATTTTCCTTTATGTAGATTGTCACTTTCCAGAAACTTAATTTCATTCACCATGTTGATTGTCATGGACTCCATTCCTCTCTATCCCCTTAATTCTGCCAATTTTTGTGACTGAAATTTAATTGCAGATATAGTCACTATGTCATACCACAACAGTTGAGAGAGGCGCACACTGTGATTCACTCATTTTGAAGTTTTCTTTGTTTTATAACTTAGAAGTTTTTGAAGTTAAAATAAAACAAAAAATGCTTTTAATTGGGGGGACATAGGCAGATAAAACAATATCTAAAAGAAACAAAGAGTGCATTTTCTAAATACATATTTTATTTTCCTCTTTTGTTATTCATATTTGAAATATGTTATTAATATGTATAACATATGAATTGCATTTAGTTAGATTCTAAAGCACAAGGTTTTATATAACTTTATAATGTAACCTAGTATATTTTTTCTTTTTATATTTGGTCCTTGAGTCATATTTAATATCAGGTGTGACAGGGCTAATATGCAAATGTATATTTTAATTCTTTTGTTGCAGAAGAAAAAACTAAATTAATTTTAATATATCACTTACATTTTGGTTAAGTATTTATAAGACCACATACTTACATTAATTTTAAATTAGTAGTAATTTTAGAACTAAATAAGTACATTTACAAGAACTAAATAAGTACAATTACAAGAATGCTTCATATGAGAATACATGTGAAAAAAAACATTTTACAAGGACTAATTTTCAAAGTGTTCAGAAAATGTGTTCTCCAGATAAAGCATTCATTGGCATTACAATAACTGTGCCAACACATTCAGTATGGCAAGAATTTGTTCACGTTGTAGCTTGCAGATTGACAGCTGACATCACCTGATGTCAGGTGAAAACAAAGCACACACAAGAAAAATTGAACAATGTTACATCTTTAGTTTACTGATGCAGCTGGAGAAAAAGATATTTTCTTGGAAGGAAATGTGCAAAAGGGATCTAAGTGGAGAGTCTCTGTAATGATAAATGAAATTGCATCATATCTATGGCCCGTAAAATTGGATTTTATTTTATTTTAATTGGTTTTTGATTTAAAATTCCTAGCACAAATAAAAATCATAAAAGAAGAAGAAGCTTTAAAAGAACAATTTGAGTATCTTTATTATATGAGGTTTGACCTTAGTAGTTCTTTATTGAACTATGTAACCATTTTATCATTATTGGGAAAAGCATATTGAACCTCTAAGATGAAAATATTGTAGGAAAACCGTACAAATTACTCGCTCACCTAACTCAGCTTCAAAATAATGTTTGCATAAAGTGACACTTTTATTCTTGGCTGATATAACTCCTAGAGAGCAAACATTCATATTAACTACTCATCTATGTCATCTATAATTTTGTTTCTTACTGTTAACTAAAAGTGTAACACAATCAGTAATGTTTTAAAATATGTAATATGCCAGTTAACTGTGAAAAAGATGAATATATATATATATACTTTAATAGATTCCGTAGATACTACAAAATGACAAGTTTCTCAATGGACTTATAATTGTGTGTGACAAATGACATGATTTGCCAGCTGTGGGAATTAAGGGGATGACATTTCCTCAAATGTTTTGTTCAATGTCAGGTATATAAAAAAGGAATTAATTCAGATAAAAATGAAGAATTGAAGGGACTCTAAACTATCTCAAAAGACAAATTATGGAAGGCAGCATGGCATTTTAGAATAGAAAATGTGGTCTCACAGGGGAATTAGGTATATCTTTTCAGTATTTGAAAGTCTGTCATGAGCAAGGGGATTAATGTCTGTTTCAGATAAGTATTTCAAATATAGATTTTCATTTAAGTAAAGGCAGGGTTTTATGCCAGAGAGATCCAAGTATGTCTGCTACCTAAGATAATGAGTATCTAGTTTCTGTAGGTATTAAAGAATTGAGTCAATATACATTAAAGATGAATGTTTTGGAAGAAATTTAAGTCATCTAGGCAATATCTATCTAGTGGTATTGGAATTAATTTGACTTTCCTACTCAATTTGAGCAACTGGATGGCCCAAGCATATAATATTGACATAATTCTATAGTAATGTATATTTATAAATTACCCACTGCTTTGACTGTATTGAGTGGATCAATGAGTCACAATGGCAGTTTGAAGATTTAGATGTAACTGATATGAAATGAACATTGAAATTTTTAAAGAAAACAAGTTGGGCAGAATATGAACCCCTTTATGACAAAAACCTTTCATTTGCTAAACGTGCAACTGTAAGTTCGAATTGAGGATGCTAGTTTGTTAGAAAATTAACCAACATACTTCTTTAAAAAAATAATGTATTTTTGAAATCATCCATATCTGGGTTACAGTTTCAGCGCTAGCATTTGCCAGCTGTTGCCTATATCCCTTTGATGGATTATAAACTGGATTTAAATGTGAAGATAAATTTAAATTATATATGTAAATGTTCTATTTCATATCTGACATGTATTACATGTTCAAAAATGTTAATTTTATTTTATTTAAGTTTAACTGAGATTATTTTATCTTCCAGCAGAGAAACCTAACAATTTCATGAATAATTTCCAACATGTAAGAAAACAATTTAAGACTCTTAGACAATAATGCCCACTAAATTTAATTCTACTTCTTTAACCACCCCTGAGCCCATCCATATCTTATAGAGACCAGGCTACACTTGTGGAAGCAAAAGCTATTTGTAAGTTTCTCCTTTCTACCCATTGAGTTACAAGGAATTGAATATAAACCACATTATGTCAAGTCTGCTTGCCCAATTAGACAAAATGCAAACTGTCATTGCGGGATCATCCAGTACTAAACTCCACCAGAAATAACTCATTGTCTCTGCAATTATGGCTTACACCATCACTTCTTAAAACTAACAGAACATTTCCCATCATCCTGCTAACAATTCCATTTGTTTCTGGTAGCCTTAATATTTGACAGAAACAAAGAAAGTCTCCTGTGTAAAATGTAGTACTCTTGTAATTGCTTCTGAGGGAAGGAAGAAAGCATAAAGAGGTTCAAATAATTAACTTATTCTTCTCAGTTAGTCACTGGGAGCACATAGACAATAGGCTCTCTTTCCATACAATAGATACATTTTCCTGCTATATATATGGTATATGTGAGTTATCCCCATTGTAAGATATTACACAAATTTTAATTAGCTTTATACTTGGCATGTCAATTTGATGAATTTCAAAAAATTATTGATCATATTTCCACAAATATGGATTTACTAATACTAATTATTCTTTTCATTTTTATTAGCCTTTGTTGTGTTTGAATGAGACAGACTGCAATAAACCTTTCATCTATCCCCCACATAGCAAGTTTGAATCAATAGATTCACCCAATTATAGACAGTCCCTTGGATCTTAATTTACTATATGGAATTTTTATTGTAAATTTTCTATAGTACAAGCACAAAAAGACATGTATAGTCACTTAATTTAAATAACTATGGATTTCTTTAACCTACTTAAATTATTAAGCAACTGTATTTGTCAGCAAGTATAAATAAGCTTTAGTTAAACAATCAAAATAAGCTCTTTAAAAGCACACACCCTTTGTTTCCTGACAAACATTACACCTTACTTCTATAAAAACTTGGTGGATTTTTGAAATTTTTAAATTTAGAAGTAGAAGAGAGATAAATACACAGTGACTCAAAATACAATTCAGTGATTCATCTAGCTCTGTATACTCTGCCTGGATTATATTATGTAATTTGATGCCTTGAAATACGACCATGGGGTTTTCTCTCCGTATCTTTTTTCCTATTTGTTTCTTTTCTTATCCTTTCCCTTCCATTCATAAATGATTCAATCTTAAATCCATTAGTTGGGGCCAGAGGAAAGTAAACATCCTCTGCATGGGTGCCCTGGCTTGAGGCGTCAGAGTCCAAGTGGAGTGACAGCCATCCACACTGAGAGACCACTTGGGATGGGGTGTCAAAGTCAAATAAGGGTACAAAGTTTATCCATATGGAGAATCAGCCTGGCATGGGATTTGGGAATGTAAGTGGAGCGAATAGGGTGTCAATACAGGATGCAACCAGTTGTGGTAGTCAGAGTCCAAGTGGAATTAGGAAAGCATTCCTCTAGTTAGCAGAATCTGAACCCACATGTACTCAAGAGCTTGTTGAAGAATATGGGTAGCTGGTGCCAGTTGGCAGTGCCAGTTACAGGAAAAGGGTGGCCCAGGCCTAGAGAAGTCCCAACATCAATGACAGAGCCAAAGCAAGTTGAGGAAGGTGTCCAGCAGGGGGGCTACCTATTGTGAAACAGCAAACACAAATAGAATAAGTATATCAGTGGCTGACAGTGAGTTGTCAGAGCCTGAGAGAGTCACAGAGGGTGTTCATACTGTAAAAAGGCCTAGAGTAGTGTGGCCAATTGGATAACACATGACAGCTCACAGAGGTGGCCTGAAATGGGGTGACAGATTTTGAGGTGGCCTAGCATGAACAGTCAGAGCTTAAACAGGGGAGAAGGGTATCGTAGTGAAGATGTGGCCTGACAAAAAGTATCAGAACTCAAGCATGGCAAGGGAGGACTTCACGTAGAGTCATACTGAGACACAGGGTCTTGGAGCATGAACTGTGTGAAACACTTTCACAAGGAGGGATACCATAAGGTGGCAATTCAAAGCATAAGGAGGATCGGTGGGGGGGTCTATGTGGGAATAAGGCACAAGAAAAGGTGCCAGAACCTAACCATGGTGAGGAAGGTATTCAAGAGGGAGAGCAGCTCAGAAGAGTTACTCAGAGTCTGAATGACTAAGAAAAACATTCAAAAGTGGAGACAGAAAATAAAGGACAGAATTCAGGTGGTACCAAGAGAATGCCCCTCCAGGGGGAAGGTCCATTGTGAAGCACCAGTGTTCTACACAGTGTCTCCCTCCTGTAATCCCAGCACTTTGGGAGGCCGAGACAGGCAGATCGCAAGGTCAAGAGATGGAGACCATCCTGGCCAGCATAGTGAAACTCCATCTCTACTAAAAATATGAAAATTAGCTGAACATGGTGGTGCACGCCTGTAGTCCCAGCTACTTGGGAGGCTGAGGCAGAAGAATAGCTTGAACCTTGGAGGCAGAGGTTGCAGTGAGCTGAGATCATGCCACTGCACTGCAGACTGGCAACAGAGCGAGACACCATCTCAAAGAAGAAGAAGGAGAAGGAGAAGGAGGTGCCCATGCAGAAGGGTGGTCTCCTGTGGAATGCCAACATCCTAATGGGGGTAATGAGGATTTTCCCATTTGGAGGAGGCATATAAGTGGATGTCAGAGCCTCAGTGGGGTGTGGAATGTACTGGCAAAGAGAAAAGGTTGGTTACATTCAGGAGGATGGATCAAGTCAATTAACATATTAAAGATAATGGCGGGTTTCTCAATGCTGTGGAAGAGAGAAATATCAAAAAACATAAAACTGTTAGATTGTCCCTGGCAGTATCATTATTAATTCATGGCTTAAAATACATAGAAATGGATGGAAAAATATAAATGAGATTTCTGCTGCTGTCCTTGAAGGAATAATTTCTAAAAGACATGCACTGTACCTTAAAACTACTGGTAAATTTGACAAAATATATGAGGAAAATTATGTTTACAAACATTGGACTAGAATAAGTACAGAAATTTGGCTTGTGAAGCCATGTCACCCTTTCACTACTACGTCTTCCCACATAGATTCCCTCCTGATCTTTTTCAGGCTCTGAATTGAACAATTTCGGCTATTCCTCCATAGCTTCAGACTCCAATACCCCATGCCTGACTACCACCCTGTATGAAGATCTTCCTCACCAAGATTACCAAAGCTTCCTGCCCAGAGGCAAGGTCTAAATACCAATACAATAGAGAAAATACAGTCTTTTCCACAAATGATGCTGAAACAACTGGACATCCACCTGCAAAAAAAAAAATCATAGACAAAAACCTTATACCTTTCATAAAATCTAACTCAAATGGATCATAGACCTAAGTATAAAATGCAAAACTATGTAACTCCTAGAAGATAACAGGAAAAAATCTAGATGACATTAGGTTTGACAGTGACTTTTTTAATAGAACACCAAAGTAAAATCTATGAAAAAGAGTGAAATAAACTAACCTTAAAAGGCTATATATCTATTGTTTGCAAAACATATCAAATTATAGAAAAGGCAAAACTATGGAGACAATAAAAAGATCCATGGTTGCCAGAGATTAGGAGGGAAGAATGGACGAATAGGTGGAATACAGAGGCTTTTTGGAGATGTGAAACCAGTCTGTATGCTATTATAACAGTGCATGCTTATCATTATACATTTGTCCAGACCCATAGAATGTACAATACCAAATATAAGCCCTAACACATATTATGGACTTTAGTTGATAATGGTGTGTCAATACTGATTCATGGATTGTAATAAATGTATCACTCTAGTGTGGGTTGTTGATAGTGAGGAAGTCTGTTCCGGTGTGGAGTCAGGAATATAGGGGGACTTGTAATTTCCACTCATTATTGCCATTAGTCTAAAACTCCTGTAAAAATTAAAGTCTATTGTTAAAAAGATACAATTGAGAGGATAAAGTGAAAATAATAATAATGCATTTGTGGTTTGTTTTAAACATACATAGAAGTAAATGCCAACAATTGAAAAGATTGGAGGAATAAATGAAAGTACAGTCTCCTAAAGTTCTAATTTTATATGTGTTATGGCATAATATTTGGGCATGAACTGTGATAAGTTAAAAATGTATATTATAATGTATAAAAAAGTCAATAAAATTAAAACAAAGGAAATTAGCTACAGCCAGTAAGGTTTAAAAATACAGACTACAAATGTACTCAATCCAAAAGTAGGTGGGAAAGAAAAAATAGAGCAAAGACCAGATAAAATAAATTGGAATCAAATATCAAGATTGTAGAAAGATTGGTTATCTAGCTCTTTAGTCAAATATACTGATAATCAAAATTTTATGGTCGTTTAATCATCTTATTTAAATGGCAGAGGTAATCAAACTTGATGAAAAGGCCAGGCACAAACATATGCTGCCCACAGGAAACTCATATTAAGTAATATTTTGAAATTATAGCTAGGTTAAAAGCTTAGAAAGACACATTCTATGTAAATTACTAAGCATAAAAAAACTGTAGTGAGTATATTAGTATCGGAAAAAGCAGACTGAAGAAAAAGCAATGCCCATATGTATAAAAACAGGAGTATTTCATAATAATAATAATGGTGTCAGGTCGCCAAAAAGACATGCATTCCTAAATATATATGTACCTAATGCAAAAGTTTCAAAATAAATACATAAATAATAGATAATGTGAAATTCATCTTGTCACGATTGAGGAAGAGGATATAAATTCACCCTTACACAACTAGAAGCTGGAGAGTATATGTGAAACAGAGGCTTTTAGTCATTGGACAACAGGTACTGTAGGACTGTGATCTTTGGTAAATGGAATAAAAATGAGTGGAGCCCTGTGGTTTCCTAGCTTACTGTTTGTGGATAGTGTGCAAAAAAAGCCTGTGTTCTGTTAGAATTGCAGATGTACACTATAGTTTAGGGAGGTAGAAATAGGCAGCATTTGCATAGCAGAGTCCTAGAGAGAAGGTAGATTCAAAGAGAAAGAGAAATAGAGAAAGAGGATGACGTCAGTGGAAAATTCCTTATGATTTTTCAAACTTAGTGGTGATCTGTGTAAGTATAAGAGAGAACTACTTGTGGCTGGGAACAAAATATGATTTAAAAAATCACACAATTGCACTTGCACACATACACACACACACCCCTTATCAAGGCTGATTAAAATCAAATTGTGAAAAAGTTATGATAAATACAAAAGCAATAAAGATTTTAAAGGTAGCCAGGAGAAGGAAAAAGACACATTCCATACAAAGGGACAGCACTGAGAATACCACAGACTTCACATTAGAAACATGGGAATCAATATTCCATTGTATAAATGCAATGAGAAGTATTCCACTCTATTTATCTCCCACACACGTGTTTTATCCATGTACCTATCGCTGCACTGGTTTATTAGTTGTTTAGTTTATAGGCTAACAAGTGTATCTATTATACTGTCACATGTTGTTTTTGAAAGAAAGCTCTTATTAATAAATTTAATTAAATGTTAAAGTTACCTTCTAAAGGTGATTCGAGGAGTTATGACACTAGAAATCCTGACATAAGGTCTAACCACAATTCCTTAAGTGAGGTATTTTTAGAGGAACCACGGGTAGAGGGCTTATTTTGTGGTGAGGGAAGAAAGTGACATTTATTTTTTTTCCACTTTAAATATGCCAATTATAGTTCAATAAAAATATTTTAAAGTTTATGGCGTATAGATATATATCTTATATATATAATCTTTTATGAAAGTAACATTTATTATAAGTACACATAACTCACACAAATTATTGAATTTAATTATTGTGTCTGTGCTATTACGTTACTATTATCCACCTTTAAAAGTTGAGAAAATGTTGAGGTCAAGCAGGTAAGAATTTGAAGTTGATGGGATCTCAGGAGAGTTCTTTTATCTCTTTGTGTCACTGGCAACTCACCTCTAATTCAGAATACAGCAAGCCATTTTTTCCTCTAGATTTAATTATATTAAGATTTGGATATTACTGAAGAATAAAATGAATTACCATAAGGGCCTATCTCTGGTTTGAATACAAAATTAAGTCTCATTCTAATTGTCCATCTCAGTCTAAAATAAAATATTTTCCACCTTTCAGTTTTTAACTTGTTTTTACAGGAAGAGTTTTATGTGCTGAATTTATACATTGATTCTGTGATGCCTGTGATTGCAAGCAGTTGGATGCAGTTCCAAAAAAGCCATTTACTCACTATCAATGTGTGTAAAGCATGGAAACCATGGCTGAGTAGTGACAAATGTAAAAATAGCTTTAGGAATGTGGTTGACCATACATTCGAAGTTAAGAAATAGTAATGTGGCTCAGGATGTATTTATTGAAATATAATCTTTAGAAGTGGGGCAGCAGAACTAGTCTTTTTCTCCTCTTCTTCCCTGAGACATTTTGAGTAATGCTTTCAGTCATGGACTCTTTACTTTCAGTGACAGCAGTGTTTTGGAGAACATTTAGAAGACAGGGACCTTTAGCTGGAAATCACGGTCTGTGAAGAATATTTGAAAAGCAAACACAATAATATTTTCATGTGGAATAAAATGATGACAGTAGTTAGTATGTTTAGAGCACTTATTATATAACAGGCTGGATGATATGTCACAGAAAAAAAATGTACTGAAAGGCGTTAAGTGGGCAAAGAAAACTTTATTCAAGAATCTTGATCACGAGGTCAGGAGATCGAGACCATCCTGGCTAACACATTGAAACCCCGTCTCTCCTAAAAATAAAAAATTAGCTGGGCATGGCAGCGGGTGCCTGTAGTCCCACCTACTCAGGAGGCTGAGGCAGGAGAATGGCGTGAACCTGGGAGGCGGAGCTTGCAGTGAGCCGAGATCTCGCCACTGCACTCCAGCCTGGGCCAGAGCGAGACTCTGTCTCCAAAAAAAAAGGATCTTGTCTGGCCAAGTGAAGACGTTTCCTAGGTGGATGTACATGCAGTCTGAAACTCAAAAGAGAGAACAAGGAAGGGGTCAGCATGTAGAAGGCATTTAAAGCCATTCATGTTAGACCGAATAAGAAAGAGTGAAAAATAATTAAAAGAAGGCATACACTTGCATTCTGAGATAGCAGACTCCTGAAAGCAAAAGAGAAAGAGAAGGAACTCTGAGAGGTGCGGAAATAAAACTAGTAGAATTTAACATCTTTGAGGACAAAATAGAAAACTTTCGAAATAAGGTGTATAGTCAACTCTGCTAGAGGCAGTTGAAAATCAATTAAGGCAACAAGAGAATTTCTGTTATAAATTGTTGGTAAATATATCAAAATCAGTTTTATGGGAAAGTTTGGGGTTTGGCCAGATGATTGAAATAGGTTAAGAAGTGAATGAAAGGTGAAAGGAGAGTAAATCTAATTCTACAGAAAAGCTTTCAGTGGAGAGGGGGAAGCAGAAGATTCATTAGAAAAAAAAGGATGACAGAGTAAGAATCTGGGAGGGATGGGTTTTCAAGGGAACTTGGAAAAATGGCCTTCTATAAAGAGAAGCTATATTTCCTTCATGATTTAAAATTAGCTGAGAATGAGAAAGGCAGAAATGATAGAAATTGATAAAGGCAGAAATGATGTAAATTTCCATAAACTGGAAAAAAGTGGCCAGAAAAATATTAGGATATCTTGTATGCGGTAAGGACCCTCTTAGGGTTAATAGTAATGTGTTTTCGTTGATGTTATTCTGATGGCTATTCAGTTTTCCTCAGCTGTGTTCTGACGGCATGTAGAAAGCAAATGTTTCTATTTATAATTTGCATCACTGGGATTTTGAATCCAAATTTGATAGTGAAGTGAGTGTAGCAAGAAACTTAAGGATAGAGGGAAATAAACAGGTCAAATGATCATAAGTACCAGTGAGGTGAAAAATTATTAGCAGTGGGAGAAGTTGATTAAACAGGCTGAAGTATGTGGTCAAGGAGGGGGTTTATTTGTACATACACATTTATGTAATTGGGACGTGCTCAACATAGAGTTGAGGATATTATAATAGCTGAAATATTATTTAGACATATTTTATTGACTAAAAGATTCCTCTGTGCAGATACATTTAACCATACTCCCTTTATAGTTGTTCTCAAGTTTCTGTAATTCTAAATAATGTCATAAACATTCTTGTATGTAAATTAAATAGCCTTACAACATTAAAAAAAGGACTATTGCAATAGCTTCATGTAGGGCAGTGGGATTGAATTCTACTCCACTGAGTAGAAAGGAGGAAAACTTTTAAGGAGTAAACTAGTGGAAAAGTACTGGAGGACTTTAGGGGGCAGGTTGGTCCATGTGATTAGGCAACTTGTATTTGCTAATTACCACTTACCAAGTTAGGCTTCTACCCTCCCACAAAGATTGACAGTGGGTGGGGCCGTGGGGAGGGGGAGGGGGCAGAAATACCTGAAAAGAAGAGAGGTAAGCAGACTATAGTCAGAAGGAAATCTTTCTACAGTTTATTCAAACTTAAGGGAACATTAAGACCATCTTGGTCAGATAGCAAATGACACAGCCATTAAATACAAAGAGACTGGAAACAGAGTCTCTGGATTGAAACATAACTGTCAGACCTTAAACAAATTACTTAATCTCTTTGTGCCTCAATCTCTTGACATGGCATAATGAGAATAATAACAGAGTTATTTTTGAATTAAATTAGATAATATTTGTAATAAATCTCTAACACATAATAAGTATTGTGGAAGCAATTATTAATTAAAAATTATTCTATTTGATCCTTGTAACAAACCTATGAAAGGTACTGTTATTATTTATTGACAATGGAAAAGAAACCTAGGGGGATAAAATTACTCTATACATCCAGCCTGTGTTAGAATACAGGAAGTCTGAAGCGGAGACTGTTCACTAAACTGGGAAGGTGCAATACAGAGTTGATATACAAGAAATAAGTATAATGAAAACTCCTTTTGAAGAAACTTGCAAGTAATAATACAATGGCAAAACAGCCCAACCTGGCATGACAACCTCAGCAGTGAGTGAACATTGCATTAATGGAGACTTAGTGTTTTTAAGAATCAGAAATATAATTTGATTAAATAATCTTTAATTTAAAATACCAGATCAGACAAACAGAGAGCCAAATCATGAGTGAACTCCCATTCACAATTGCTTCAAAGAGAATAAAATACCTAGGAATCCAACTTAAAAGGGATGTGAAGGACCTCTTCAAGGACAACTACAAACCACTGCTCAACAAAATAAAAGAAGACACAAACAAATGGAAGAACATTCCATGCCCATGGATAGGAAGAATCAGTATCGTGAAAATAGCCATACTGCCCAAGGTAATTTATAGATTTAATGCCGTCCCCATCAAGCTACCAATGACTTTCTTCACAGAATTGGAAAAAACTAAAGTTCATATGGAACAAAAAAAGAGCCCACGTTGCCAAGACAATCCTAAGCCAAAAGAACAAAACTGGAGACGTCATGCTACCTGACTTCAAACTAGACTACAAGGCTACATTAACCAAAACAGCATGGTACTGGTACCAAAACAGAGATATAGACCAATGGAACAGAACAGAGCCCTCAGAAATAATACCATACATCTACAACCATCTGATCCTTGACAAACCTGACAAAAACAAGAAATGGGGAAAGGATTCCCTATTTAATAAATGGTGTTGGGAAAACTGGCTAGCCATATGTAGAAAGCTGAAACTGGATCCCTTCCTTACACGTTATACAAAAATTAATTCAAGATGGACTAAAGACTTAAATGTTAGACCTAAAACCATAAAAACCGTAGAAGAAAACCTAGGCAATACCATTCAGGACATAGGCATGGGCAAGGACTTCATGTCTAAAACACCAAAAGCAATGGCAACAAAAGCCAAAATTGACAAATGGGATCTAATTAAACTAAAGAGCTTCTGCACAGCAGAAGAAACCACCATCAGAGTGAACAGGCAACCTGCAGCATGGGAGAAAACTTTTGCAATCTCCTCATCTGACAAAGGGCTAATATCCAGAATCTACAATGAACCCAAACAAATTTACAGGAAAAAAAAAAAAACAACCGCATCAAAAAGTGGGCAAAAGATATGAACAGACACTTCTCAAAAGAAGACATTTATGCAGGCAAAAAACACATGAAAAAATGCTCACCATCACTGGCCATCAGAGAAATGCAAATCAAAACCACAATGAGATACCATCTCACACCAGTTACGATGGCGATCATTAAAAAGTCAGGAAACAACAGGTGCTGGAGAGGATGTGGAGAAATAGGATCACTTTTACACTGTTGGTGGGACTGTACTAATTCAACCATTGTGGATGACAGTGTGGCGATTCCTCAAGGATCTAGAACTAGAAATACCATTTGACCCAACCATTCCATTATTGGGTATATACCCAAAGGACTATAAATCATGCTGCTGTAGGGACACATGAACACGTATGTTTATTGTGGCACTATTCACAATAGCAAAGACTTGGAACCAACCCAAATGTCCAACAATGATAGACTGGATTAAGAAAATGTGGCACATATACACCATGAAATACTATGCAGCCATAAAAAAGGATGAGTTCATGTCCTTTGTAGGGACATGGATGAAGCTGGAAACCATCATTCTCAGCAAACTATCACAGGGACAAAAAACCAAACACCGCATGTTCTCACTCATAGGTGGGAATTGAACAATGAGAACATTTGGACACAGGAAGGGGAACATCACAAACCGGGGCCTGTCATGGGGTGGGGGGAGGGGGGAGAGATAGCATTGGGAGATATACCTAATGCTAAATGACGAGTTAATGGATGCAGCACACCAACATGGCACATGTATACATATGTAACAAACCTGCATGTTGTGCACATGTACCGTAGAATTTAAAGTATAATAAAAAAATCAGATCATATAAATGCAGAATAAAATTACAAATGAAAACATTAATTTCTTAGAAATAATTGTATTCTGCACTTGTGAGAAATAGAAAAAATGATTACTAATCACTTGCTACGTGTCTGTTGCCGTGCTGAATTCCAGTATATGATTTTTCACGTTAGTTGGAACCATCTTGTGTTTCAGTGACATAAAAATACAGACATGACGAAAGTTTATATATACAATGTTATCAACTATTAAACACTAGTTAATAAAGAGAGGCTTTAGAAAAATGAGTCTTTGGGGGAAAAATAAATGGGATGTTTAAATTTAAGTGGAATAAATTACACAACATTTTTATGGCTTACTTTGATGTTTACTTACATAACATTTCTGATAAAATTATATGAGTGCATTCAAAAACACATACTAAAAATATTTGTGTGTAAAGGGAAGTTAGTGTACTTTGCTAAAGAAAATTCAAATGGATCTGATCCATCCATAGATGAGGAGAAATTGATTATATAATACTTTTATTATGACATTACTTATAGTCCATTTCTTTTAATTTCAATTACAAGAACAGGATAGTCCATTTATTTTTAAACACGAGAAATAAAGGGCACAAAAGAGGCCCATTGTTACCAATTACTGTATATAAGAGAGCAGAAAATAAAAAAGAAAATATAATTAGCATAGTAAATGGGTGCATGACCCCATTAATTAGGCTGTAGGGGACATTCAACACATAAGGAATTCTCCTTGCTGTTTTTTTCAATCGTTATCTTTTCACAAACAGTTTGTCTGGCATTTTTTTTCTGTTAAGAAGTCTTCTACCTATGTGTCCCAAATGGCGTTAGCCTCATGGGATTAAAACTTCAAACTCCAAAACCTTGTTAATGGGGCGATTCAGGGCACAAATCTGAGCTCACATCAGTTAATGGGCTAGATATGAGGCTTATCAATGTGAGCAAGAGAGACAAGGTTAGTTGGAGAGAATAGACACTGATGGATCATTTTTAATTATTAAAGAATACAAGCTGCGATTCAGAAAAAATCATCAAGCAACTTTTGCTTTAATAATTACATCAGTATTTTATAAAATGGGAAGGCCTTTCTTTACCAAAAAGAATGTTAGGAATTTGTAAATTGTGGGAATTTTTTTGTGCCTGTATATTTTCCATGGTCTGCCATAACAAATTGATATCCCCACGATTTTCACTTTCATTTTTAATGATAACACATATTAATTGCACAGCCGTCATCATTTTTAACAGAACATGATCAGACTAAGCCAATAGGGTGGATTGTTTTAATTTTATATTTTGAAATTTTTCAGAGTAATTGAAATTTCTAAAAAATTTAATGGACATTTTTTTCTTTCATTTTCCCAATCTCAAATATATGTACATTTCTTACCTCAATGATACTCAATTACTAGAACCACATAACATCAATTGCATCTGGTTTTACATAAAGGGAAATGTTGTACCGTATACATGATAGAAAAACCAAGGCTGTTATTCATACACTGGGGCAGCTGTTTTACCTGTTTGCATCACCAAGACAAAGAGAATAAAGGTTTTTTGTGTCTGTGTGTGTGTTTTTTCTCCTGATACTTGCAGGGCATACAAATTTAGAGTTAATGATGATCACACTACATATAATATAATGAACTCATCATTGCTTATCATTATAGTGACCACTGTAATCATTATTTGGATATATTTTTAGATAAGTAGGTCTAATAATTGTCCATTTACTTTAACACAGTAATCTTGACAAGAACATTTTTGATGGATAGGTGGAAAGAGGGGCTAGAAGCCTAACTAAAATCAAAAAGAGATTTTGTACAAACTGTTTTATACTTTTAGACTATAAAAAACTTTGGACACAATGTGGTATATATAGATCTATCTATATATCTATCTACCTTTCTTCCCTTATAAATGCTTTCATTTATCCTATGACTCAAATTATATTGTATCACTCACCATTTCGCAAAGATATTACCATTTGCTCCTTACTGCCTCAGCTTTTGTGTTCTCCTTGATTACTTAGCACTGAGTCACTGCTTTTTGTCATTATGGAGTAAATAATTTGTAGTTACTTACAGGAATCTGCTACTTTAATTGCTGTAATTTTCAATATACATTCAAAGTTTCTACCATCCTGTATTTACATGATGTAATAAATACAAGTTGTAATCTTTGTTAATTCTTTAATCAAATTATTTGTGGTGTTGGGGTCTGCATAGTTGTTCATCACAATAATTTTCTGTTGCTTCTGGACTCATAACTAGACCACATTCACCATCTTCTTTTATGGCTAGGTGTTGCATATGACTGAGCTCCGACCAATGAAGAATGCATAAAATATATTTATTCTTATTACAGTCTTAGTGTATAAAAACCTTCTATGAGATTCTTCATTTCTCTTCCCTCTTTCCTTACATACAGGTGGTACGTTGATATCTAGAGTAAATAGAAAGGTGTGCATTGACAATGCCAAAGCCTCTATTATCCTGGATCATTGAATGCCTGTATAGAATTTCCCCTTCCTCTACAACAATGATCAGGCTCATCATTTTAAAATTTTATTGTAAGCAACTGAGATTTTTGTGCAATCTACTGATATAGTACATTACCAAACTTATTCATTCAACAGATATTTGCTGAATGCCTAGTATCTGCTTTTGCATTTATTCAATGATATGTAAGTCTTACTATATGCCAGGGACTATATTTATAACATTTAACACACAATAACTCATTCTATCATAGAACAGCCCTAAGAAGTGAGTACTATTGTTTTCCCTTTGGAAATGAGAAAATTGAGGCAGAATAAATTTATGTCACTTTCCATAAGGTACACAGTGGAGAGGTGGTAAAATCAAGCCAGGGCTCCATTGCCTGAGCTTTTAATTCCAGCTCTATGATGCCTCTCCTGTTTTAAGCATTGAGATTAGCAGTCAACAACAACAACAAAGGACCTTTTCAGATAAACTTGGCAGCCTTTAAAATGAATTAAGAGACAAGATAATTAAGTGGATGATTCAGAATTAAATTGTGAAGGAATTTTAAAAAATAATAGACATTATTATAACAATTTCCAAAATTTAAATACAGATAATGATTTGAAAGTAATAAACATGTAATTCCTTTTTTGTTATAGGTACAGAAAGAAAATAACAAAGCAAAAGCAAATGGACAAAATATAAATGGTGAATCTGAGTAAGGACATTGAGGAATTCCTTGAAGTTCTCTTTCAGTTTTTTTTTAATTTAAAATTTAAAGACAAATGAAAAAGTTACCACAAAAGTAAAAAAGAAAATCAATAATATGTGCTCTGTAAGAAAATTAAAAAGTAAGGAGAATGATGGAAAATCTATTCCAGTGAGATACTATTTGAGTAGAGTTTTGGGCCACACAAAGGTAAAATCCACAGGAAAATCTGAGAAGAGACAATGCAGAGAGTAACACAAACATAAAAACCTTACTAAGTGCCTTTGAGAAATAACAAGAAATTTTGTATTACTGGAGTGGAGACAATATCAGACAGAGTGATAAGTCATTAGGCAGAAATTAGAGGCTTGCAAATTAGGTTATTTGAATTACTTTTTAAGGGTAAAAAGGAATAAAACTATTTGGGATGGGTAAGTAATATGATCTGATTTATTATTTTAAAACTTTAGTTGTGTATAGAAGGCCATAAGGGAAATAAAGTGGGTTATAAGAAGAAAGTAAAGAGAATTTACTATATTGCAATAGTCCAGGTGTAGATGATAGATTGGGAGGGCTTTTGGTGAAGGTGGTGATAAGCATTCACATATGGCATGAATTTTAAAGGAGAGTCTATATAGACATTTTCCATGGATTGAATGATATGTGCATGATTCCGTAGATGAATGGAGTGTTATCAAGACTAAGCCTGCACTGAAAATCAACAATTTAGTAAGACATATGGGGGCCCCCTTTCTGTCAACATCTAAACAACATTCTGCGTACAAATTTGGTATGATAGCAAATAGTCCAGGATCACCCCAATAATTCTGAATAATGATTTTTAAAGACCATTTTTCTCTGAGTCACTGCTTTTTATGTTGCTATTCAGTGCCTTTCTGCCATTTATTATTGACTACTTAATAACTTACTTTCCCTCTTACTGCATTTTTCCCCAGCATGCTTTATTCTTTCAATATGGAAAATGACACCTATCTCTTTTGCCCAAGGTGTCAATTATATGTTTATTAAATACATTTTCTTAAGTTTTGGAAATTACCATAAACTCTAAACCAGGCATTACTGTATTTAAAGTTTATTGCCCATGTTAATTCTTGAGAAATTTCCTGGGGATGACTTCTTTATTGAACTTCCAGTTGCTTCCAATGGTTAGGGAAAATATTCCTTTACAAACAAGAGCCCTCTTTTGTTTGTAATCTCTCATAAATTCCAAAGGCCATTAATATCTTGAATTAGCCTCTCAAAGAAAACCTGTATCTTCTGCTCTCATAATGGTATGTATTTATACAGGCATAGCAGAACATTTATGTCCTTGAGAGCAGGTTTGCTACCTAATGTATAACAATCCACCACTCCAAGATAGGATTTGACTTTGTTTTTTTGTGTTCAAAAAGTATTTGTTGTGGTAGCTTTGAATCAGCAGACTGTCAGGCCTCTGAGCCCAAGCTAAGCCATCATATCCCCTGTGACCTGCAGGTACACATTCAGATGGTCTGTTCCTGCCTTAACTGATGACTTTCCACCACAAAAGAAGTGAAAATGGCCTGTTCCTGCCTTAACTGATGACATTACCTTGTGAAATTCCTTCTCCTGGCTCATCATGGCTCCAAAGCTCCCCCACTGAGCACCTTGTGACCTTCACCCCTGCCCACCAGAGAACAACCCCCCTTTCACTGTAATTCTCCTTTACTACCCAAATCCTATAAAATGGCCCCACCCCTATCTCCCCTCGCTGACTCTCTTTTCAGACTCAGCCCACCTGCACCCAGGTGAAATAAACAGCCTTGTTGCTCACACAAAGCCTGTTTGGCAGTCTGTTCAGATGGACACGAGTGAAACAGACAACATACATTTGCCATTTTATGCAACTATGTGAGTGGTTATTTCAAACCTTTTTTGGCTTCTGAATGTGTTGCAGGAAGTCAGGGACCCTGAATGGAGGGACCTGCTGAAACCATGACAGAAGAACAAAAATTGTGAAGATTTCATGGACATTTGTTAGTTCTCCAAATTAATACTTTTATAATTTCTTACTCCTGTCTTTACTGCAATCTCTGAACATAAATTGTGAAGATTTCATGAATATTTATCACTTCCCCAGTCAATACTCTTATAATTTCCTATGCCTGTCTTTAATCTCTTAATCCCATCATCTTCGTAAACTGAGGATGTATGTTGCCTTAGGACCCTGTGAGGATTGCGTTAACTGCATAAATTGTTAGTAAAGCATGTGTGTTTGAACAAAATGAAATCTGGGCACCTTGAAAAAAGAACAGGATAACAGCGATGTTCAGGGAACAAGGGAGATAACCATTGGGTCTGACTGCCTGGGAGCCGGGCAGGACGGGGCCATATTTCTCTTGTTGCCGAAAACAGGTAAGAGAAATATTGCTGAATTCTTTCCCCAGTAAGGAATATGAATAATTAACAGCCCTGGGAAAAGAATGCATTCCCAGGAGGAGGTCTCTAAAATGGCCTCTCTAGGGGTGTCTTCCTTATGCAGTTGCAGATAAGGGATGAAACATGCCCTGGCCTCCTGCAGTGCCCCCAGGCTTGCAAGAATTAGGAAATTCCAGCCTGGCGAATTCTAGTCAGACCGGTTCTCTTTTCTTGAACCCTGATAAGATGTTTATCAATGACAGTGCCTGCACAGTGGGAAATGAAATTTCATCAGCAATTCTAGTTTCGCCCTGGCCTGTGACCTTGCCCTGCCCATTTGCCTTGTGATATTTTATTGCCTTTGAAGCACGTGACCTCTGTGAACCACACCCTATTTGTACACTCCCTCCCCTGTGAAAATCGCTGATAAAAAGTTGCTGGTTTTGCGGCTCAGGGGGCATCACAGAACCTGCCGACATGTGATGTCTCCCCCAGACACCCAGCTTTAAAATTTCTCTCTTTTGTACTCTTTCTCTTTATTTCTCAGACTGGCCAACACTTAGGGAAAATAGAAAAGAACCTACATTGAAATATTGGGGGTTGGTTCCCCCAATATGAATGTATAGCAAATATGAACATGATAGAGATGTATTTTTTTAACAGTTTCAACAACAGAATCTAAAAGGCTGACCATAATAGTGTTCACATTATTCTACACAAGTACTGTGGCAATAGTACCCTGACCAGACCTCTCTGTAACTAACTGTAGTGTAGCATGTCAAGTCTGTATTTCAGGATGTTACAGTGTCACAGGTTAGGGTGTGACATAGTACATTGGATATGACCTTCCTCATTGGAAGGCACAAGAGGAAATTAGGGAGCAAAATCAATATGCTCCTTCTATATTTATTGACCTTGTCAAAATATGATATAATCAGTAAGCCTGTACTATGACTGCTGATTTTTCACTTCCATCTTTATTCACTGCTAGCAGCACTGTCATTTTCTAAAAGGAAGGCTGAGGATCAATATAACTACTAATAATCTTGACTCACCAACAGCTAATTTATGCTGTGAGTTGGATCTGCATTAATTATTGTAGCCACTTAACAGGTGAAAAAACTTGGAATTGACTCTACACTATGCCAGAACCACTAGGGAATGCTAAAAGTAATTCTAGAAAAAAAATTGCTATGACCCATAGAAAAGAGCATGTTTACAATAAACACTTTCTTTAAAAAAATTTAAGTGTGAAATTCTGTGTAAAAATTATTTTTTCAAGAGAGTGGTCTTGAAAAGACTTATCTCAGCTAGTATATATAGAATGTCTGCAGGACTGCACTAAATATGTATAATTTTCCTTAAGTTTTATAATTTAAAGTGAGTGACTATTTTTAATGATGAAGGTCATTTAATTTTATTCATTGATTCTACATTTGGGAATATCGTACTACAACAATGGATAATTCCAGGGCCCTTGGAGCAACACTTCTTCAAGTATCTCATCTTATATAAGATAGCAGTGCAAGAGGAGAAGTGTTACTTTACTCACTAGAATATTTAGTCACTGCAATGGAGTCCTGAATGAAGACAAATTCCAATGTAAAATTTAATATTCCCCTCACCCTGACCATTGTATGACATGCTTTGGTATTTTCTTTTTTGGGGGATGACACATTTTATTTTCAGAACTTCACCTCCAGTGTATTGAATGCACTGATTTCAATACGCATTTATAACTATCTCCTCCTTTTAAAATTTTACCTGGAGATTACCAGTCATCACAAGCTTGTGAAATCTTATTCTCATGAATACCACAAATATAAGGCACCAAGGATCCATCTTCTTCTAACAAAAAGTCCAGTATTTCATCAGGATCCTAACATAAATATATATGAGAATGTCTAGAGAATTTTATTTGATCCGCAAGTCTATTCTACCTGTTATGTGTCATAGTGGCTAACTGTTTGTTTCCAGTTTCCCAGTAATCAGCGTTATCCCTAATCAATTCTTGGTGTTGGTAACCTCCTTCAGCTTTTGGATACGTGCCGTTTCCTAGGATGCTACTGCTTTCCATGTAGAAGTTTCATTTAAACTATATAGACTCTATTCTCATTTCACTAGAGCAATTGATGAGATGAAATTGTAACTGGAAATAGGATATTGTTAAAATTTCAGAGATGATGCAGAGGAAGTACAAGTCCTACTACCTGTGGCTACTCTTGCAGCTATTAGGCCCTACTGCACCTTCACAGAGCCTGGACAGGTGTGGCCTTGCCTAGTCAGAGAGATGTTGTATGGTGTAGAACATTTCTCCTGAAATTGAAAGTAACAACAAGACTGTCTCTGTCAAAAAATTTGAACTTCACTCCATGAGGCTCACAGACAAGAGTTTCCTCCAACTTTGGGTTGGAAACTTTTTCCCTTAGTCTTCATTTTCTTGTCCAAATATTGAATTATTTTCAAGTTAAGTGACAGTATCTGTGCCCTAAATCTTCAAGGAAAACTCCTTCTGTCCTCAAAGAAGTTAAAAAATTCACATCAGAAGACAATAAGAATACACCATGTGGAGGAAAGATACATATTACATTTATTTACGATCTTGGAATGAGGTTAAGAATTAAAAAAAATATATATCAGAGACAATTTGTCCAGGTACTCACAACTTTAATCCAAATCTATTCCCTCTAACTTAGTGTAAAAATCACCGAAAAGTTCTATATCCTTAACATTTGCCTGACATGTTGTTTCTTTAAAATTTATTTATAGAAGTTCCCTAAAGAATAGGCATAATGCTACAGACTGAAGGAAGTAGTTGTATTTAACATAGCAATAATAAGAGATTTTGAAATTACTTTTCTTGCCTGGAACACTTTTAATCTATCAGTGCATTTTTCTCTGAAATGAAATTTGCGTGAATATTAAGTGCATGTTCTGCATTAATTTATGACGGTTAAGGTATTTGTTTAACTACAGTAGACATAACTTATTCATTGAGAAGAAATTACTAAGGATTATTCAGGATATATGAGAGAAACTCATTGACTATGTAATGAATTTAAACATATATAAACAGATTGTTATTTGAACTATTTATATACATAATTATAAATCATTAAATTGCCTCAACAATTCATTTAGATAGCTATAAAGGGTAATCATATTGTTTAATATTTACAGTTGATTAAAATACATTTAAAATGTTATATTTAACTCTATTATGTTTGTTTTTCTATTCTATCATAATTCTAATAGCATTCCTATTTTTCTTTATTTAAATATTCCTTTAAAAAATATAAAGCTGTCACAAACCTACAGAAATTTAAAAGTACACTATAAAGAATATTTTTTCTCAAGCTATCTAGGAGTAAATAGCTGACTTGTTGCCTCATCATCTCCAAATACAATAGGATGTTTTTCCTAGAAACAGGGGCATTTCCCTAAAAAAGAGAAATAAAAGGGAACAAAGGAAAAAGACCAACTGATGTAACAATCAAAATTAACACTGATACATTACTAGCATGTAATCCCCAGACCCAATTTAAATTTCATGAAATCTTTCAATAATATCCTTTATTGCAAAATGATCCAATCCAGAATCATTCATAGCATTTTTTATCAATTTAATTTTTTAAAATAATTTCAACTTTTATAGATTAAGGGCTACATGTGCAGGTTTGTTACATGGGTATATAGTGTGATGCTGAGGTTTGGGGTACAAATGATCCTATCACCAAGAAATGGGTGCAGTACCAAATAGGTACTTTTTCATTCCTTGCTCCCCTTCTTATTTTCCCCTTCTAATAGTCCCCAGTGTCTAGTGTTTCCTCTGTATGTCCATGTGTATCCAATGTTTAGTTCCCACTTATAAGTGAGAATATGTGGTATTTAGTTTTCCACTTTTGTGTTAATTCACTTAGGACAATGCCCTCCAGCTCCATCCATGTTGCTGCAAAGGACATAATTTCATTCTTTTTATGGCATGTCATATTCCATGGTGTATATGTACCATACTTTCTTTATCCAATCCACTGTTGGTGGGCAACTAGGTTGGTTCTATGTCTTTGCTATTGTGAAAAGTGCTACAATGAACATAAAAGTGCATGTACTTTTTGGTAGAATGATTTATTTTGTTTTGAATATATAACCAGTAATGGAATTGCTGAGTTGAACAGTAGTTCTGTTTTCAGTTCCTTGAGAAATCTGTAAACTGTTTTCCACGGTGGCCAAACTAATTTACTTTCTCATCAAAAGCATATAAATGTTCCCGTTTCTCCACCCTCACCAGCATCTACTATTTTTTGACTTTTTAATAATTACTATGCTGACTGTTATGAGATGGTATTTCATGGTTTTCATTTGCACTCTTCTCATGATTAGCAATGTTGAGCATTTTTTCATGTTTGTTTGCCACTTGGATGTCTTCTTTTGAGAACTGTCTGTTCATGCTCTTTGCCCACTTTTCAGCGAGGTTATTTGGTTTATGCTGTTGAATTTTTAAGTTCCTTATAGATTCTGTGTATTAGACTTTTGTCAGATGCATAGCTTGCAAATATTTTCTCTCATTCTGTAGGTTATCTGTCTACCTCTGTTGGTATTTTCTTTTGCTGTACAGAAGTTATTTAGTTTAATTAAGCCCCACTTATCAGTCTTTGTTTTCATAGTCATTGCATTTAGATGCCATTTTTGTTTTTGACTCTAGTCTAAAACTTCTTGGAGTTTGAAAATTACTGGCCGGTTATTTTGCAGATTGTTCCTTAATTTACATTTAGCTGATGTTTCTTCATGATTATATTCATGCCAAGTACCTTCAGCAAAAATATTACAGTAGTGATTCTATGTCCTTCTCATATCTTACCAGGTGGCATACACTTTCAATCTATCCTCTTACTCACTAGATAACTTCGATATGTTTCAGTTTTTTCAATTGTAAAAATTATTTTTTCTTTTCTATAATTATTAAATATTACAGGAAAAGGTATACTTTTAAATTATGAAAAAATCCCATTCATCAAAAAACTTTGCACATACTTGGAATTTCTCAGTTTTGTCCATGTTTTTTTTTTCATTTATTTGGGATTTGAACCCTCTTCCCGGGCTTTCCCCTTGATTACCTGCTCACCTAGCTTAGGCTTTTATACTCCAGTTTAAGTCATTGCTGCAGGAGGAGACAGGAATAGAAGGCATTCAGCAACAACTTCTGCTCTGCTGCAGATCATAGCTTTAGAATTGGATTGTTCTTAAAGAGAATTTAAGGGAAAGAAAAAGAAAGGGAAAAGGGAAGAGAAAGAGAAAAATGAAGTGGAAGTGAAAGATGAAAAGAAAATTTTGGAATTGTTTAATGTAGAAAAGTAATGCAGACTTAATGTGACAAAACTGAAAGTCTGAAATACTCAAAAAATTATTTTTCCTGTCTTTGTAGTAATCTGTCAATTATGTATCTCAATATTTTTCTTATCACATGTCTTATTAATATAGCTTCCAACCTATTTTTTGCCTTTTGCCTTGATTTTGGTATTTAAAAATATATATATATTTAGATACATTTAAGTCTATTTTTAATCTTTTTAAATTTCTAATTATTAATAGTTGTACATAACATTTGTACATATTTATGGGGTACATGTGATATTTTCATACGAGAATACAATGTGAATTGAACAAATCAGGGTAATCAGGGTAGTCATTACCTCAAGCATTTATCCTTTCTTTGTGTTAGGAACATTCCAATTCCACTCTTTAATTATTTTCCATTCTTTTGGATATAGACCTACCATTGGGATGGTTGTATCATATGGTAGTTCTATTTTTAGTTTTTCGAGGAACCTCCATATTGTTCTCTACAGTGGCTCTACTAATTTACATTCCCACCAACAGTATATGACGGTTCCCCTTTCTCCACATTCTCAGCAGCGTTTGTTATTGCCTATCTTTTGGATAAAAGCCATTTTAACTGGGGTGAGATGATATCTTATTCCAGTTTTAATTTTCATTTATCTGATGATTGGTGATGTTGAGCATTTTTCATATACCTGTAGGCCACTTGTATGTCTTCTTTTGAATAATGTCTACTCAGATCCTTCACCCATTTTTAAATCAGATTTTTTTTTCTATTCAGTTGTTTGAGTTCCTTATATATTTTGGTGATTAATCCCTCATCAGCTGAGTAGTTTGAAAATATTTTCTCTCATTCTGTGGGTTATTTCCTCACTTTGTTTATTATTTTCTTTGTTGTGCAGAAGCTTTTAAACTTGAGTTGATTCCATTTGTTTATTTTTGCTTTGGTCACTTGTGCTTTGAGGTCTTCATAAATTTTTGCTTAGACCAATATCCTGGAATGTTTCCCCCATGCTTTCTTCTAATGGCTTTATAGTTTCAGGTCTTAGCTTTAAGTCTTTAATTCTTTTTCATTTGATTTTTATATATAATGAGAAATAAGGGTCTAGTTTTGTTCTTCTGCATATAGATATTCAGTTTTCCCAGCACCATTTATTGAAGAGACTGTCCTCTTCCCAATGTAAGTTTTAGGCATCTTTGTCCAAAATGAATTCAGAGTAAAAGCTGGATTTATTTCTGGGTTCTCTATTCCATTCCATTAGATTATGTGTCTGCTTTATACCAATATCATGCTGTTTTGGTGACTGTAACTTTGTAGTACAATTCGAAGTCAGATGTAATGCCTACAGCTTTGTTCTTTTGACTCGTATTTCTTTGTCTCTTCTGGATCTTTTGCAGTTCTATGTGAATTTTAGGATTGTTTCATCCATTTCTGTGAAGAATGTCATTGGTATTTTGAT
This sequence comes from Homo sapiens, assembly GCF_000001405.40. NCBI lineage: Eukaryota > Metazoa > Chordata > Mammalia > Primates > Hominidae > Homo > Homo sapiens. The sequence goes on along the minus strand of NC_000009.12, from coordinate 102,722,497 downwards.
AGAGTTTGTATTTAATCTGAAGATTGTTCTGGGAAGAACAGACATTTTAACAATATTGATTATTCCAGTCTATGAAGACTTTCCTTTTTGTGTGTCCTCTTCAATATTTTTATCATTGTTTTACAGTTTTCAAGGTAGAGATTTTTCATTTCTTTGGTTAGGTTTATCCCTAGGCACTTTATTTCATTTGTAGTTATTGTAAATGGAATTACTTTTAAAATTTCTTTTCCAGGTTGTTCAGTGTTGGCATATAAAAATGCTACCTATATTTCTTTTGTTTTGTTAATAAAGTATCTGAAACACACACAAAAACTATGTTTGTTAATTATTGGTTGTGGAAATATAGGTGTTTTTTATATTTTTGTACACTGTAAAACATGTAAAACAATTTTTAAAATATATATATTACAACACGAACTTATATTTGGTAAAAATAAATGTTTCCTTGTAAAATTAAGTTAAAACTTGTCTATAAATTCATTTTGAATTCCTGATTAATCTATAGATTTTTTCCACTAGGCAGCCAAATTTGCAAGTGAGACTTGAAGCTCTATGCTGTAGAGACATTTACAGTTCAGTTTCTTTACTTGCCAGGATATTCCATGACAAGAAAAATTTAAAATGATTAAGATTGGAAACAACCCTATGTTTATCAACAAGTGAGTGAATAAACAACTTGTGATATATCCATACAATGAGACTCAATAATGAAGAGGAATGAATTATTGATATAGGCAGCAATATAGATTAATCTCAAAATAACTATCCTGAGTGCAGAAAGACAGGCAAAAAAAAAAAAATGCATGCGTATAGTTCAATTTATGTGCCAGTCTGGGAGACATAAACTAATATTTGATGACAGAAAGGAGTTAGTAATTACCTGGGAAGCAGAAGGGCAAGAGAATGGAATTACAAAGGCGTATAAGAAAATTGTTCAGGATAATGGATGAGTATGACCTTGATTGTGGTGATAATTTCAACAGATGCATACATATGTCAAAACTTACCAAATTTTATACATTTAATATGTACAATTTGTTGCATGTCAATTATACTTTAACAAAGCTGTTTGCATTTTTATAGTCAACTAAACCAAATTTTTATTAATAATTTCCAGATTTTATTTTGCTTACTGTGTTATTTTTATAGTCCCATATTCTATTATTTCTCTACATTATTTTTATATAGTATGATGTAGTATACCACCTTTATTTTATCCCAGCTGTATATAGATACAAATGTAAATAAGGACAGTGGAAGTTTTAGTCTCTTGTAATTAAAATAAAATGACATATTTGTCATGGAACAGCTTCCTATACATAGTTAGAAACATTCTTGCATTTTTTATTATAATAATCAATTTTTTGTGTCAATATCATAGTATTTGAATAGAGAATGTTTATAGCTATTTTTTATACGCTCATGAGATATATCCCTTCTTAAAATTTTAAATGCATTTGGCTTTTATTTAACTGGCTGCTTTTGTTTTTTCTTTAGAAAGTTAACATTCTTACTTTCAGCTATTGCTTTTTAACTACTATAGATTCTGATTAGAGTTGCACTAATTACAGTAACTGTTTATGATGGTAAGTCTGGTATTCTAAGAATATTTCCTCCTAAAATCTCCCTTGAGGCCTTTCAATAAGACCTTACAGTTTGAATCATACAATTACTTTTCTTTCCTGTAAATTTTTTATGTACCATGTACTCTTTTTTTTCTAATTTAACAAGGTACTTTCTATTTCTGTTTCTAACATATAATTGCTATAATATAAATTTGTTTTTATATACTATAGTTGTTTCGTTTGTAGACAAGGATTTCTTTTTATTTTCTGGTTATTTTATATTATTTTATTATTGCTTATTTTCTTATTCAAAAACTTAAATATAGTATTTTATAATAATGTATAATGATGTTTATTATAGGTCTTTAATTTTAACACAGTTGTATATGAAAATATGCATCATGAACTATTTAATGCAGTATACATATTGGCTAGGAAGTTTTGGAATTAGACACCACCAGACATCACTTACTAGTTTGGTAATCTTTGAAATCTTATTTAACCTCTCTAAACATCTAAGATATTTTCTATCAAACAGAATAATAATCATACCTACTTCCTGGTTGATATGAAAATTAAATAAAATAATGTACTTAGCACATTTAATAATTTATAAATCAGTAAACACATAAGAAAAAATCAGCTAAAACAAAAATATAAGAATACATATATTATTTTTGTGGATATCGTTCTCAGAAGTCAAGAATAGGAGGAAGACTCTTAATAGATTTTGAGTAGAGCCAGTGTGTATTTTGTGATGATGCTGTTGAGTACCTCACTCCATGACTATGCTACTCTTCCTTACTCTCCTGTCACTGTTGGGAAACAGAACACTTTATTTTCTATACTGTCTTACTCCTAGAATCCTGATGATAATTTAGCTTCCTTTAATCTCTTGGGTTAGAACTGTATTCTGAACAAAGTGAAATAAGAAGGACAGTATGGCAGAAGAGGGGCATGGCCTCTGATGTTCTCAAATGTAGCCATAGTTTTGCTTTGGGTTTGTTTTGTTTTTTCACGGGTTGGGGGGGGGTTGTTTCATTTTGTTTTTAATCCTTCCTGATTATGGAAGGAAGAATCAGTATCTCCTTCAGTGACCTAATTTTATAGTATAACCTAATTGTAAGACCAAATTTTGGAGAAGCTTGTTTGGGGACTAAGGCAAGTATCTATTTCTGTTTTATTTTTTTCAATTTTTATTCTAATATAGAAGGCACATGCTCAGGTTTGATACATAGGTATGCTGCACTCAGGTAGTGAACATAGTACCCAATGCATAGATTTTGATCCATTCCCCCCTCCCTACCTCCCTCATCTGGTAATTTACAGTGTCTGTTGTTCCCATGTTGATGACCCTGGGTGCTCCATGTTTAGGTCCCACTTATAAGTGAGAATATGTGGTATTTGATGTTCTGTTCCTGTGTTAATTATTATCATAGCCTTCAGCTACCTCCATATTGATGTAAAGGACATGATTTCATTTTTTATGGGTGCATAGTATTCCATGTTGTATACATACCACATTTTCTTTATCCAATCCATCACTGATGGGCACCTAAGTCGATTCCTTGTCATTACTGTTGTGAATAGCGTAGCAATGAACTTACAAGTACATTTGTTTTTTTTAGTATAATGATCTATTTTTTTTTCCTTTGGATATAGCCCATAATGGGATTGCTGGGTCGAATGGTAGCTCTGTTTGAAATTCTTTGAGAAGTCACCAAAGTGCTTTCCACAGTGGCTGAACTAATTTACATTCCCACCAACAGTCTATAAGTGTTTCCTTTTCTCCACAGTCTCACCAGCATCTGTTGCTCTTTAACTTTTTAATAATAGTCATTCTGACTGGTGTGAGATGGTATTTCATGGTGGTTTTGATTTGCAATTCTCTGATGATTAGTAATGATGAGCATTTTTCATTGTTTGTTGGCCTTTGTTTGTTGTATATATGTTCATTGTTTCTTGGCCATTGTTTGTTGAATGTCTTCTTTTAAGAGACATCTGTTCATGTCCTTTGCCACATGGGTTTTTAATGAGGTTTTTCTTTGTATGTGTAAGTTCCTTGTAGATTCCAGATATTAGACCTTTGTCAGATGCATAGTTTGTAAATATTTTCTCTCATTCTGTAGATGGTCTGTTTATTGATAATTTATTTTGTTCTGAAGAAGCTATTTAATTGAATTAGGTCCCACTTTTCAATTTGTGTTTTTGTCGCAATTGCTTTTGGGGACTTAGACAAAAATTATTTGCCAAAGCTGATGCCAGGAAGGGTATTTCCTAGGTTTGCTTCTAGAGTTTTTATACTTTGAGGTCTTATGTTTAAATCTTTAATCCATCCTGAATCAATTTTTCTGAATAGTGAAACGTAAGGGTCCAGTTTCATTTTTTTGCATATAGCTACCCCATTAACCCAGCACCATGTAGAATAGGAAGTCCTTTCCCCCATTGCTTGTTTTTGTCAGCCTTGTTGAAGATCAGATGGTTATAAATGTGAAGCTTTATTTCTGAAATTTCTATTCTCTTCCACTTGTCTGTATGTCTGTTTCTGTACCAGTACCATGCTCTTTTGGTTATTATAGCCTTATAGTATAGCTTGAAGTCAGGTAGAGTGATGCCTCTGGCTTTGCTCTTTTGGCTTAGGATTGCTTTTTCTACTTGGGCTCTTTCTTGGTTCCATTTGATTTTAGAATAGCTTATTCTAATTATGTGAAGAATGACATTGGTAGTTTGAGAGAAATAACATTGAATCTGTAAATTGCTTTGGGCAGTATGGCCACTTTAACATTATCGATTCTTCCCATCCATGAGCATGGGGTGTTTTTCCATTTGTTTGTGTCATATCTGATTTCTTTCAGCAGTGTTTTGTAGTTCTCCTTGCAGAGCTCTTTCGCCTTCTTGATTAACTCTATTCCCCATTTTATTTTATTTGTGGCTATTGTAAGTGGGACTGTGTTCCTTATTTGAGTCTCAGCCAAGACATTATTGACATAGAGAAATGTTACTGATTTTTTTTTACATTCGTTTTGTATCCTAAAACCTTGCTAATATCCTCTATTAGTTCTAGTAGCCTTTTGGCAGTCTTTAGGGTTTTCTAGGTACAAAATCATATAGTCAGTGAAGACAGATAATTAGACTTATTTTCTTATTTGGATGCCTTTTATGTATTTATCTTGCTTGAACGCTTTGGCTAGGACTTCCAGTGATACAGTGAAAAGGAGTGGTGAGAAAGGGCATCTGTACCTTGTTCCAGTTCTCAGGGGGAGTGGTGAGAATGGGCATCTGTACCTTGTTCCAGTTCTCAGGGGGAATGGTTCCAGTGTTTGCCCATTCAATAAGCATTCAATAAGCATCTATTTCTGCATCCCATTCAATGAATCTTTAAGCAATTTGAAACTCTCTAATAAAACTCATTGGTATATCTAAGCCAGAGCAGATTCTGTTCTTTCCAAATGAACCCTGACTAAATAACAGAATTATTGCAGCTACATGTGTCTGGGATATGAGGAGTCAGTGAATTGTATGTGTTATAAAACTGCGAAGAAGATTGAAAATATAGTGTAGAAAACAAAAGAAACTTCAACTTTTTCTGTAATATATATTTTGTCATTTAAATCTCTAAAACAGAAGTGTCAAGATTTTATGCCTATTACTCATTGATTGTGAGAATACAGTTTTTTATTATTACTGTCATTTTTTTCTACAATCTAAAACATTAAAAGTTATTTTAAAAGATCTATATACTGCAGTATAAAATATTTTTTCCTTGTGAAATTATAAATAAACTAAGAGTCTATTAATTCACTTAGAGTTCATGCTCATTATGATTTCATAGACTTTTCCAACATGGTTGTTATATTTGCAAGTAATACCCCAAGCTCAGTTCTAAAAAGACAGTTCAGGTATGGTACTTAGAAAGGTCTTAAATGAAAACATTGATTACAAATGATCTTTGCTATTCAAGATGATGTTAGCAATATAATGTGAAACATTCTTAAAATATTTGTTAACTCCTTTCTAAAACAAGCCATACACTTTTCCTTTGCTTTGTTGGTGAGAAAAAAATAAAAAAAATTAAACTTATTTTGTTTTGATTTATTTTTACACGTTTATTCCAAAGAACCTTCCCCTTACAGTTACTGTTTAGCACTGAATATGTTTAGCCTAAAGAGTACTAAGTAAAAGGCCTTATGCCTCGATAAATAAATCACATTGTTGCTCTATAGTCATGTGAGCTAATATAGTTCTCATTTATTTTTTAAAAAGAAGACAAAAGAGACGGTGGAATCATTGAAGTATACAAAATTAGAATAGATGTTTTCAAATGTCTCCCTGATTTTTCTCTTAAAATGTTAGAATTTTTATTTGAAGAAATTTTACTTAGAAAAATGAATACAATGTTTTCACTTGTTTATGGTAAAATATGCTAATATGTGAAGACTTTGAAAACAGTAATTCATCTAAGATTCCTACATAGCAAGAAATGAAATATGGATATTATAGATAACTGAGTTAAACTGTGGACTAAACTGCACTTTGTTTGATGTAAGGGCTGTATTTTTAAGCGGTGCTTTTGAGAATAGAGTTTGCTTTCTAAAACTGTGCTGCTCAGTATAGTAGGCATATGTAGCTATTCATAGTTACAAATAAATTGCTTAAAATTAGCCCATTTCAAGTTTTCAATAGTTCCTTGGGGCTAGTGGGTACCATACTGTACATTTTTGCCATTGCGTAAAGTTGTATTGCATGATATGCTTGAGTTGCATGTGTAGATAATTGTCTGCAAGTTATAAACAGTGAGAAGAAAATTATTGTAATGTGGTAAAAAGAAAAGCATACAAATTCATTTCTAGCAAGATTTGTGTAAGAACTGAAAAAAAATATTAGTGGGATGACTGAACCTAATGAGAATTCTCAAATCAAAGAAATGTTGAAAACTATAAATGTTATTTCAGTGATATCAAGTATATATCTGTCTATAGAGTATAGATGTAAATATCTCTGTTTATTAAAAATTATCTCTGACTTTATAAGTAAGAAAATGGGTATAGGGAATTTTCAGAAAGTATGAGGGTTAGTGTGTATGTAGGAGCTAGAGGAAGAACAGGTGTGAGTTAAGAGTGTAGCTTGTTACAGTAAGTATTGTCTAAGTTGGTACATTCACCAAGAAGAAAGCAGCCTCTCTCATCTGTCTCCTTGAAAATGAACTGTGAATTCCTTACCAAGTGTAATAAAGTTTTAGAATTTAATAAACCACTTGTACCAAGACTTGGTTGACATGCAGACCAAAAGACAAGTACCTGGGCAGTTTTTGTAGAAGAGAGGGAGGAGAAAAGGAGAAAGAAACTTGGAGGTGAAGAGGAGAAAGAAACTGTGTCTTTACTTGTATAAATTGCCATGGAAATAGTGACTGACGAATATTTGAGTTGGCCCAAAAGCCAATTTTTTTTCAGTTAGGAATGAAGTGAAGAAAAATGCTGCTATTTTGACTCCATCTTGTTACCAAACGAATCTGCTGATTCAACATGGGGTAACTAAGAGGCAATCTCCTTGTATAATTTGCTGCTCATGAATTGATGCTTTTTCAGAGTACAGTACTTTACTTGAAATTACTAATAATGGTTCAAGGAAAAAATTATCACTGACAGCATGGAATGCACAAACTTGACAAGATGATTAAGTTAATTCTTTTTGGTTGCTCAGAAGAGAAAACAGAAAGTATGGCAGTGGTGAAAATAAATAAAATTTAAGTTAGAATTTTCTTTAAATATTTTGATATAAAAGTGATAATTAAAAATAAGATATTACTCTGCATTTACTTTTATTATCAATTTTTAAACTAAGCATTTTTCACAAATTCAATCATTATATTATGAACATTCAGAGTATTATTAGAATGTTGAATATTGTCTTGCAAAGAAAGAGTTTGACATTGTAAATGCTTGACTTACTTATTTCTCTTCCCCAAGCAGATAAACAAATATATTCCTAATGCTTACTGTCATTCAAAGTACACTCAATGCAAATTCTTGAAGTGGAAACAGAAATTACTTGCTTTGTTCTGTGCACACATATTCCCAACTGTGACTTTAAAAGTTATAAATACATACACAACATCAACTAAGGCTTAGTAAAGAAAATTGTCACATTAAATCAGATGAATCATTGAATAATTTCTTTTAAAAGTGTAACAACACTTAGGAAAACTGTGTACAGCAGTTAGCCTGTAAGTAAAGATAATGAGCATGTAAAATACTACCAGTCAACCTAAACATAATTCTGACCAGTGTATCAAATTAGTTTGTCATATCTGGAGAAAAAAAATAAACTGTAGAAATGTCCTCCCGCTATTCAACATTGGTCTTACATTCTCCCTAGCAGTCAAATTATATGATCTAATATAATTCATAGTGCCTAGACCAACAAAATATAATACATTATTTTATACAAGATTGCCTTTTTTTAAGAAAGATGATTTTTCCTCATTCTACTTCTCTAATATAGTAGGAAATGTTATTTCAAGAAACTTTAAGTGACGTCAGTAAATGAAAAAGGTAATAATACATACAGTTCTGAAATTTAAGTAATAAAAGAGACTTCAAATAACTGCTGATTTTTAAATATCCATTTATAGCACTACCCCTTATGTACGCTCACGACTCATATAAAGAAATAAAAGAATTGCAATGGCCTGTGTATCAGACACCACTAATGTAGTGCCTTCCATCTCAGCCTCACATGGTTGCCTTGTTCCTCATCAGCCACCTCGTAAGAGACAGATTCTTGCTAATGCTCATGTTCATGTTTTTTCACCTCTAGAGTGGTGGCTGGCTCTTTCTCCCACTTTCAGTAATGCACCAGGTCACAGGTCATGGTATCTGGCTCCCATAGGGAGAGTTTAAAGAATGAGGTGATGTAAATTGGAATTTAAAAGGCTTAAAGTTTAACCAGTGAAGAAGAGAATGTGGGAGGTAAATACAAATAAACTTGCCCTTCCATTCATTCCCTAATGGTTTACTATGAGGCATAGTGATATCTTATGTGGATAAATAATTGATTATGTCTATGCTGAAGCAATAATCCATTTAGTGATGTTCTGTCTTCTAGGCCTTTCATTTTCACTGTCCTAAGATTGAAGCTACTAATAAAGCATTAGCACTTACACTTGCCTTAGATAAGGGATACCACTGGTTGAAGGTTTCCTTCCTTTGCTAAAGGGCACAGCCCACAAAATCATCAGTTACAGAGATTTGGGCTTTAAGGGGATACTGCTATCAGGGGACCCAAACTTAGAAAGTATACCACAGCTCGTTTAGCAGCTTCTAAAATAGCCTGTTTATCAGGAGAACCAGCACCCCCACTATTTCAATGTAGGTTCTTTCTATTTTCCCTAAGTGTCAGCCAGTCTGAGAAATAAAGAGTACAAAGACAGGAATTTTACAGCTGGGCCTCCAGGAGTGTCATCACATATTGGTAGGTTTGTGATGTCCCTCTGAGCTGCAAAACCAGCAAGTTTTTATTAGGGATTTTAAAAGGGGAGGGGGTGTACAAACAGGGAATAGGTCACAAAAACCATATGCTTCAAAGGGCAATAAAGATCACAAGGCAAAGGGCAAAATTAAAATTGCTGATGAGGGTCTATGTCCCGCTGTGCATGCATTGTCTTGATAAACATCTTAACAGGAAACAGGATTCGAGAGCAGAGAACTGGTCCGACAAAAATTTACCAGGCTGGAATTTCTCAATCCTAGTAAGCCTGAGGGTACTACAGGAGACCAGGGCGTATTTCAGTCTTTATCTCAACTGCATAAGACAGACACTCCCAGAGCGGCCTTTTATAGACCTCCCCCAAGGAATGTCTTCCTTCCCCAGGGTATTCCTTGCTGGGAAAGGAATTCAGCGATATCTCTCTTACTTGCACGTCCATTTATAGGCTCTCTGCAAGAAGAAAAATATGGCTGTATTCTGCCCAACCCCGCAGGAAGTCATACCTTATGGTTATATTCCCATGTTCCCTGAAAATCACTGTTATTCTGTTCTTTTTCAAGGTGCACTGATTTCATACCGTTCAAACACACATGTTTTACAATCAATTTGTACAACAGTGGTCCTGAGGTGACATACATTCTCAGCTTATGAAGATAATGGGATTAAGAGATTAAAGTAAAGACAGGCATAAGAAATTATAAGAGTATTATTAGGGTGTGATAAATGTCCATGAAATCTTCACAATTTATGTTCAGAGACTGCAGTAAAGACAGGTGTAAGAAATTATAAAAGTATTAATTTGGGGAACTGATAAATGTCCATGAAATCTTCACAATTTATGTTCTTCTGCTGCAGTTCTGGCCGTTTCCTCCATTCGGGGTCCCTGACTTCCCACAACACCTGTTGGTTTGGACTTCACTCAAAGAATTCTGATAAGTAATTTAGCTAATATAAATGATTAAATAAAATGCTCAAATGAGGCACACACTGTCTTCAATACACAGAGCCCAATAAGATTCTGGGTCTCCTTTTTGGTGGTGGAGGCAAAAACACTGCAATACTTTTGTTGACTACTGAAAAGATTGGGTATTATGAATCTGCCCATATAATGCCAAGAAATTTTACTTGGTTAGTAGTCATCTGAATTTGGCTGGGGTTTATCAACCATTCTTTCTAGTGCAGCTATGTTAACACTGCAGCCAGTTCCACTGAGACTGAAACTTCTTAATTGCTAACCCAGTGAATAGTATTCCTATAGTAAACACTTTGCATGTCAACAGGCAGAAGCACTCGTGTTAAGTCCTAACACACTCCCTCATGGCAAACAACAAGGATTTTAGTTATTCATGTTCTATTAACAGTTCTGTCTGTACAAATTATTTTCAAATGAGGAAATCCCCTTTGGCATTTATGGGACAGGGAGGTACAAGGACAAAACACCAATTCCTCCTACCCATTCAGAAGTGGAAATATCAGCAGTGCATTGAATTGACACCAAGTGCCCTACCACAAGGTATTTTAGCTTCTGTGAATGTTGATCAAACCTCATTAGCTCAATCTAGGTACCCTATTCCTCATGGAACCTAGTAAAATGGTGGCTTGTGTGTTTATATCCAAAAGAAATTAAAAGTTTGAATTTATCCCTTCTCAGAAATTCCCCAGAATATTTTAACAGTTTCATATGACTCTAGATCACTCATGAAGACAGAAAGATGTCATCTTCATTCCTAATTGTCTTTTTCTTTACAGCAGCTATAGTTAGGGAAAAGAGGGAGTGAGTCATCAGGGTACATAAAAGAAGAATCAGTTTCATGTCATTAAGCAAGTCTCATTTACTTTATTTCTCAATCAGTTCAGCAGCTACTTTCAGGTCAACAAAAACTTTTTTTTACTGTATTCAATCTTCTCAAAGTCAGCCAGTGGCAAGATTATCATTACTGATATCATCTATTTTAGCTTTGGAGACCCCTTGACTCCACAGTCACAGTCATACTGTTTTCTGCATGAAACTGTAGGGTTTGTACCCTTTAACTAACTCAGGAGTCTTGCACAGTAGTGACATTTCTTAGGGAATCTACTTTAAATGGAAGCATATTTTTGCCTCATTGTAATGAAAATTTATCTTAGGCTTTTACCACAGTTTAACCTAAGGGCTATAGGGGTTTTCAATGAAAATGAGGATGATTGCAAATTTATCAAGATTTATTTGAATCAGTTTCTCAGTATTTTAAACTCAACATGAATATTATCAATGCCTCATCTATGGTTTGTGATGGGAGTTTGTCTATTTCAAGAAAATCTTCCTGATGGAGCCAAATCTCCCTTAGAGCAGCAAGGGCCATTGCAGGAAAACAAACAAAGAAACAAACTCTGAGACTGAAGACTTAATTTTTTCTCTGAGTAGATCTGAAGTTGTCATGATAGACTGCGGAATGGGACTGAGTTGCAAGACAGCCCAGCTCTAATTATTTATTCTTAACAAATCTTGTGCTCTCTACCTCTTATTTTCCAATAGAAACAAAGTTCTAATTCACCTTATTTCTGTACATAGTGGTCACAAATTTCCGTTACGGCATGTTCGATGTAGGTACACAACTCTATAAATGTTTTTTGAAAGGGCTTTGGACCTTCTGAGTACTCAGTATGTATTATGGGGAAGATTTGAAGATGACCATCAAATTAGTGAGGAGGACCTTTTTTTCCTGCCAGAGGAGAGTTAACAGAAAGAGGACATTTGTTGAAAAAACTGCTTTCTGGTATTTGGCCTATAATTACCTCCCACTTCCTTATAATTAATAGTCAATAAAGTAGAGGGCTGCTTATTATTACACAATTGACCATACAATTTGCTCACCATGTTTTCTGCATTTATGGACTTACCTCAAATCCTATCAGTTCTTCCAAAGACCCTCACCTATCCTCTTCCATTAAGTCATTTATCTGTCAACTTTCCATCCTCATTGACAAAATTGTCAAGAACTGTTGTGAATGGATTTTACTCCACTTGTATGCTAACAAGTTAGCTTCATGCTTACTAGTATAAGATATACAACCTCTGGTTCAGAGACAAGAGACTACTAACTCACAGTACAGCAAGCCGCAAGTACAGCATCATATCACACCAATTCTTGGTCTAAGTCCCACAGAAGGGATGGGATGGTGGTGGTGGTGATGTGGATGATCCAAGATAGATGACTTCCCAAGAAACTACGAGTGAGCTACCTCAATCTAGGGAACTCATATCTTTTATAATGGCTAGTAAGAATTCTTGTCCTTTGCTTTTGAGTCACATTCTGTCTTCCACTGCTATTCACTATATAAATATCCTTGAAAAGATTACCTAGAACAAAGGGCTATCAGTGCTTTTGGGTTATAAGAAAAATATATAGAAAAATATCTCATAACAATTCAGAATAATTTTACATCTTAAGACGTGGTATATCTTAATGAGCATACCATATTGTCTGAAAATAATGTTTACACTAAGATTGCTGTAGTGTTCAAGGAACACCAATCGGGTCAAACTGGTTGATAATAATGTTCAGATATTTAATGAAAATGATTTTAAATACTAATAAAGAAAAACCAAATAATATCATTTAATACAGAAAAAAATTATTTGACTAAATTCAACATTCATTGATAAAAAAAAAACTCTAAGGAAAGTAAGGCTAGAAGAAACTCTCACAATCTGATAAAAAGCATTTACTGAAAACGTACGAAAAGATTTTATATAATGCTGATAGATTAAATGCTTTTTCAAAGTATAAACAAGACAAGGATATGACTCTTACCACATCTGTACACATCAACAAATGTCCTAGCTAGTACAATAAGGAAATATAATCACTAAAATCGTACAGATCTACCATGAATAAGCAGAACCGTCTCTATTCACAGACTCATGTTTTCTATATAGAAAACATGAAAGAAACTATACAATGTCTACTGGAATGAAAATATGAGTATAGCAAGCTTGAAGAATACAAAGTCAATATACAAAACTATGTTTATGCTTCAGAATATTTAATTTTATTGATAGCAATTCCCTACAAACTTATATACATATAGATTTTGATTCCGTAATAAAAGTCAGGAGATTTTTTTGTAGTTATCAATATCAGATTCTAAAATTTCTATGGAAAACAAAAGACCTAGAAGAGCTAAAACAATTTCGTAAAACAAGATCAAAGTTTTAGGAGTATATCACCTGATATCAAGATTTACTGTGAACCTACAATGATTATGACAGTATGTTACTGATGAAAGAATAAGCACAAATAATAACGCAGTTTGAGAGTCCAAATGTAAACACACTAATACATGACCGGTTGATTTGACAAGTATACAAAAACAGTTTAGAAAGAAAAAAATTGTCAGAAAATTATGCTGTAGTATGAAAAAAATCTATATGCAAAACAAAAGAAAAAGAGAAAAATAGAGGAAGAAAGGGAAGAGTGACCAAAACTTCATATCATGCTAATATACAAAAAATAAATCAAAATGAATATAGGCCATCATATAAACGTTCAAATTATAAAACACCTGGAAAGGAAACTAAGATTAGTAACATGATCTTGAGCTAAAAGTCAAAAAGATTAAAGATCTTTAAAGTGAAAAAAATTATAAGTTGACTAAGGACTTCTGCTCTCTATAAAACATCATTAACAAAATAAAAGATAAGCTTCATATTGGAAGAAAATGTTTCATATTTTATATATATAATAAATAACCTATTTTCAGATTAAAAATCTTAAAACTCAATAGTAAACATATAAACTACCTGACCTTAACAAAGGCAATACAAATGGTGAAATTATTTAAACAGACTTTTTACCGGAAAATATATATAAAAAGAAAATTAGGATTTGCAAAAGTGTTCAGCATGATTAGTGATAAGGGAAAGGTATACAAAAACTACAATGAGATTGCACTATATACCTATTAGAATGTTCAAAATAAAGACATTCTCATCATTATCATTATTCAGTTGACAATACCAAGTTCTAGAGAGGGTGCAGAGCAACTTTCAATCTCATAAATTGCTGGTGAGAAAGCAAAATGACACAGGTAATTAAACCAACCACTTGTCAGTTTTAAAATAATATTCTCTGCATGTGTTCCAGTAACCACACTCCTGTTTTTACCCCAAAGTGAAAATACATCTCTTTTAAATGACTATTTACAAATGTTTATGGCAGCTTTTTACATAATCTCCCAAATCAGAAAATATACCAAAAATGCTTCAACTTTTCAATGGACAAAAATAGGGCATACCAGGTAATAAAATGTTGCTCGTTGGTAAAAATAAATGCACTACTGATTCACAAAACCATGTAAATGAATTTTAAATGCATTATGCTAAGTGAAAGAAGTCAGGCTCAAAAGGCTGTGGACTTTTTTAAAAGTAAAGATTATGCATATTTGGTAAAACAGTATATAAATGATATATAGAAATAAAGAAGATGAAAATAGGGAGTGTGAGGGAGATGATGCCAAATTTAAACTAGGTTGACAAGGAAGGTTTTATTAAAAATGTTACTTTGAGTAAATATCTGAAGGCAATTATGGGAAAAGCCACAGATAAATAGTTAATCATGACAAAACAATGTAAAAATTGCCAATCTAGGACTATATCCAGGAGTTTTTGGTGGCACAGAGCAGAAAACTGTGCTTTGGCCTGGGTATTACAATTTATATGCATCATTTATTCTCTTTTGATGCATTAAAACACTATAATCAAATATGAAATATTTCCCAAGGTAATAAAAAGGGCTTCCAGTCAGAATTTACAACATTCATGAGAGCACAAAGAGGGAAGACCTGGCCTACATGTGGCATTGTGTGCATTTTCATCTTGGGGAGGAGAATTGAGATATAATGCAAAACTAAAAAAAGGAGATTGAAATAGGGAGCTAATCTTCTAGAACTCAATATTATCCTTTAGAAAGGAATTAAAGTTTACAAGAAAGGTGGCATAATTATATTTATACAACTTTTATTGCACCATTTTAACACTGTATTGAGGATATCTGACAGCTAAGTCCTCTGGTAGCAGTACATCACACAAATTGAATATGTATGATAAATGAACAATAAACAAATAAGTTGCGCTAGAAGTGAATGACAAGTCAGTGTCAACTAGAGAGGTTTTCCAATGGCACATGCTGAAACCTTGTATCACCTGTGTTCTTACCTTCAAAATTTTGTAAAAATGACAATATATTGACAATATGCAGTATAATGAAGGCTTTGTCCTACTCTTTTACGACATATTTTACTCTTTAGTTTTCTTAGTTTTGTTTAAAACCATTATACATAAACATTTTAATGTTTATTTTCTTATGCTTTTATTTGATAAATGATAATTGTAAAAAAAAACCTGAATACACAAGAAAGAAAATGGAAAATTAAACCAGGATATTACCACTATTGCACTTTGTTTCGCTCACTTTCAGATTGCTTTCCTTAATTGCATGGCTTTTATTTGAATGGGAGTGAAGCCATCTTCATGGGAAATTTAATATCTTGTCTTATTTTCATTAAAAAATTTATCAGGAAGATTTTATTATGCCATTAAAAGTTATTTGAGGGCCAAGTGTGGTGGCTCATGCATGTAATCCCAGCACTTGGGGAGGCCAAGGCAGGAGGATCATTCGAGCTCAGGAGTTCAAGACCATCCTGGGCATATGCCTCTAGTCCCAGTTACTAGGGAGACTGAGGCAGGAGGATCTTTTGAGTCTGGAAGATCAAGGCTGCAGTGAGCTGTGATCACACCACTGTAGTCCGGCCAGGGTGACAGAGCAAGACTCTGTCTCAAAAATAAATAAATAAATAAATAAATAAATGTCACCTGAGACTTCTGGTTTCAGCTCTCAGTAAAGACTTCTCACATGTAAAAGAGTCTCACATGTAAAAAGTCCACTCCCCACAATAAAAATCTGGACAAACTAAAAATGAACTGAAAATAAACATTTTCTAGGACCCATTAGAGACCTTAGTTCAGAGGCCAAATTTCCACATTGACAGAAGTAGTCACATCCAGCAAGATACATCAATAGAGATCTGTTTAACTCAGATAGAAACTCCTGGAGTCATATAGAAGTAACACTTAATTAGTAAATTTAATAAATTATAGGTGGCTAGTGTGAGTTTTGTTTGTTTGCGTTTTCAAGAGAGGGTAGTTTTTGGTGGGCTTTCCTGCCAGGAATTAGATCATGTTATTGTGGTGAACACTGGAGAAAGATACAGTTATGGCTCCTACAGAAAGAGGGGAATAGGAGACTGAAAAATACCCAGATCTTTCTTTATAAAGATCAACCCTCCAGGGGAAAGGAATTTGCCTTATTCCAGCTTGGAAAAGAAATTTCTCATTAGTGCAGTCCCCTCCAGCCTTCTTGTCTCATCAAAGATGGGAGAGAATATAGTAAATAGGGTACAAGGCATGAAGGAAATAGATTGGAAACGCTGTAGCCAGGAAAATGAAAACACATCGGTGTGAAGAAACTAACCACTGGCTGAGGGGAAGAAACACTTCTGAAAGCCAAAGACCCAAGACACAAAGCCATTAAAAGACTGAAACTTTAATTCTATTCTTGCTATTTAAACACATTAAAATATTCATATACAAAACTATAAATACCAATTTGCAAAATTGACAATATGTGTTAGGAACCCTCTCACAGACATCATATCCAGTGGGGTAGCTAAATATAACACTAACAAAAATATGACTTGGATAATAGGTAGAAAGTCAGATTTTTTTTTTTAAATGAAGGTAAAGTATATTCTGGGTAAAGAGAAACCATTGTGAAAATGGGCAAAAGGTGGGACATTGCCAGACATGATCAAGGGAACTGAATTGAAATCGTTGCAACACACCAATCGGATAGAAAATTAGATTGAGAATAAATGAAAACATTGGATTACATAATACAGTGGAGATAAGTGTCAGTTTTTTTTTTTTTTTTTGAGACGGAGTCTCACTCTGTCACCCAGGTTGGAGTGCAGTGGAGTAATCTCGGCTCACTGCAGCCACCGCCTCCCGGGTTCAGGCGATTCTCCTGCCTCAGCCTCCCCAGTAGCTGGGACCACAGGCACGTGTCACCACACCCCGATAATTTTTTGTATTTTAGTACAGACAGGATTTCATTATGTTGACCGAAATGGTCTGGAACTCCTGACCTCGTGATCCGCTCACCTCGGCCTCCCAAAGTGCTGGGATTACAGGCGTGAGCCACCGCACCCGGCCAGTGTCAGATGTTTTTAAACGACCTTTTTGTAGGTTTAAGGATTTATGTTATGTTTTTGAAAAATAATGTGGCATAATGCTTGTGACTTTTCAGGAAAAAAAAAAAAGCAAACAAAAAAAAAAAACATTTCTGGGAGCTTCGAATCCATTATAGACTTTGGCAAATGTTAGATACTTAAATATTTGTTAATCCTACACAACTACTGAAAGTCAAAGGTGCTAAAAAAAACTAACGTTACTAAGCTTTTTATCTTTATTTTTCAGTTTTGTTCATGAGAGACTGAATGATGCTAGTATATACCTTTGACCTAGAGACGAAAGCTTAAAAACAGTTTATCCCATTGACTCAAAGATGTGCTCTTTTTTCACATTTTATTACCCTTAATTAGCCTTACAATCAATACCAACTGAAACCCAGAATTTGCAAATCAATAATATAATGTTATCTTAATTCCTTATGTATGTGCAAATGTGCTCATAGCTGTTCACAACACCATTGTTTAAATTATCTACTTTGTTAGTTTCATATAATTACATATATAAGTTTATGCATATATATGATGTAATATATATATATATATATACACACATATATAGAGAGAGATAGCAAGAGACAGAGAGTTTTATTGTTTAAAATATATTCAAAAATATAAAGATAAGTCAACCCACAGCCCTTGGGAATGCTATGCCAATGGAACAGCCATTCTTTTGTTTCTTTACTTCTCTAATGATCTTCCTTTCACTTTTAAAAAAAAAATTGTAAGCATTATAAACACTCAACATTTACATAAATTAGTTTGCATGTAGAAAGACCTCAAGCTAGAGCAGCACAATATATGACAAAAATCAACATGTAAAATAATCCACAGATTGTTTTTTCAATAAGATTAAAATATAGGGTTAAAGTGATCTGAATAAACTCTTTCATGATTTAATTAACAATGTTTTCATTTTTTGATGCATAAAATAATGGTATATCTTACAGTCAATGGCCTCTGAGGTTCAATGAAATACAGGAATTAGATATGAATCCATCTTCACAATGTAATAATTTCTTCAGCTGGTGATAACCTCAGTGAACCTCAGTTTGCTCATCTGTTAAAGAATCATAATGATAGCACTTCATTGACAGTGTTTTTATCAGATTGTAGGATGGTGTATAGGCATATGCTTTGTAAATTGTCAAGTTACCCGACAAATGTAACAAATTACTTCCTGTAATTAAAGCATGGAATATGATTTTCAATATTAGAAATAAAAACTTAATAATGAATAGAAAACCTGGCATTTTACCAGCAAGAAATCATTTGAAATTGTAATTTAAGGAATTAGTTAAAATACTGTAAAACTGAGGCAATATGACAGTTAATTGAGAGGAAAACAATATACAACCCAGGAAGAGAGCATAAAACATGTAATATACAATCTAGGATACATCATTAGATAATGATGAAAGGAGAAATATTTCTAAAAGTATTGTGATAAACTGTTTACCAATTTTTAGAGAAAAATTTAAATATACATTGCAAAGCTTCACATAAAATTTAAAAATCATTTAAAATATATTTTAATTTAAATAATGACACTAGTAGATGAGGTCATTTCATATAAAAATTTTTGGAAGGGTAAATTATGATTTTTTTTTAAATTAAATATCTTTTCCCCTCCTTACTAACTTTTCATTCTTTTGTCTAAAGAGTTAGATACAAATGCATCAAGGAAAAAGTAGAATAATGTGATAGTCTTACCACTCAACAATAGTCATTTCTACCTATCAACATAATCAAATATATTTATACTAATTTTGCAATAGTCAAGTATATGAATGTAACATAATTTATATAACAATTGTACAATTACAAGACATTTAACTTGTACAACTACAAGACATTTACCTTGTTTCTAAAGTTAACACTCTGATGAAAAGTGATGGGATGCAAATTCTATGGCATCAAACATTGGACACTTGTCCAAATATATTATGTATAAATTTCTATAAATTAAATTTTGATTTGTAGCCCCAAATTGCTGCAGTAACTTACATATTCACCATCATTATGCAAGGATAACTTCAATCTCACATTCAATCACTAAACAAAATTAACATTTTTAATTTGAAAATACTGTGGATGAATTGAAGATAGGCCATTCTTATTTTATTTTTTGTTTTTAATGATTAGTAGGCCCAAGTGTCATATTTTGTTGAGCTTTTCTATTTTTTTCTTCTGTGAATGAACACTTGCTATCTAAGAACTATTGTGTACTACCAGAAAGTCCCAAATTCTTATTTTATATCTCTAGAGTGGTAATACTAATAGGATGTGTGTAACTCATAGGGAGGTTGAGACAAAGGCATGAGCTGGTGTATATAAAGCATATGAAATACAGTCTGGTAGCATATACAAACATCAGATGTTAGCTATGATTAATATTATAATTATTCTTACTAAGAGCACTCTTAGTAATAAAAATGTGAAATGATATTTATTAACAGAATAGCTCTCATGTTACAATGTTAACTGGAAAATACCGGTTAAAACACAATACAAAACGTATACTTCCATTTATTTATTAACATACAGTACTATCCATGTAAATAATATCTGTCTTGCTGCATATAACTACGTTTTTATATTTACTCATCAAATATTAACTAACACAAAGTTACCAGTTATTTCTGAGACACGGGGTTGCATGTATTTCCTTATTTCTTTTATATGCATTTCACTTTCCCACAGCAACAACGTATTGTCTATTAAAAGCAAAACATTGTTTCAAGAAGATAAGTATGACTAGGGTTCCAATTTCAGTGTAAATTCTATCAGAGATACCCGAGAATAGTTAATTAGATAAAGTAGAGATTCTTGTGAGCTTATTTCCATATGGGTTTATTAGATTACCCTTGGAGAAAACTGAGAAATAGAAGATTTGACACATGGTCCAAAATAGAAGATTGACACCATGCTAAGCATGGTGCAATAGCAAAGCCTCAGTCTTCTGTAGAAAGAGGCAATTCTGACTAAATCGTGTGTCACTAAGATTTGATCGTGCAGAAGCTCCTGATCCCAAAGGGAAAACAAGCGTCTGCAGGCAGAGAATGAAGGAGCTTTTTATTTATTTATTATTTTTTAATGAAAAGCTCCGAGAGAGATTGTTAAAAGATTCTACACCTGTGCGTGTGTGTGTCCTTGCTTACTAAAGGCAGCAATCATCAGGCAGAAGAGTTAATCTATCAAACTGAAGAATGCAGTAACCTCAGGGGTCAGTTTGGGGAAGGCAGTACAGTTCTTAAAGGTAGTGATATTTAGTGTTACCTCCTTTGTATTTGGAGATGCCTGCACAGGCAATCAGCAGAGAGAGTGGTAACAAACCTTCTACAGGCACCGTGAGGCATTTAGAACAAAACGAAGGCAAAGCAGAAAGGGACATGTACATAGTAAGCACACCTAAAATAGCTCTTCAAGACTCCAAGGAGCAAGGTTAACTGCAGTGCTCTTGGAGATATTGCCGTATGTGCTACGGGCAAGAGCAAATTAGATAAATCTATTTTGTTATCAGTGATTTCATTGCAAGCATCATTTTATGAGAAACCTGTGAAAGAAAAATTGAGTCAGGTGATATAAATCAAATTTAAACAGTTAGTATGCAGATAAAGTGGAAAAAATGCTATACTACCCACTTTGAATAAGGAAAGAAACCTATAATTATAGTCAAGAATCAGTCAACAACAGAAATGGAGTCACAGGATAATGTATAAGAGGCAAGAATGCCAGATGCAGGATATTACTCATCATTTGACAATCAATAAAGAATAAATTGTCATCTATGTCAAAAGAATGCTTTTATTGATCAACCAATCCTTGTCTGCAAGTTGAGTTACGGATAATGTCAGTCACTGCTGTTCTATTGCCAGACTTCATGCCTACCTGGCTCTATGAAACGTCGGAGAAAGCAACTCATTCCTCTTTACACAAATGATAGACCGAATATAGGAAATGCAAAGCCTAACAAGAATGGGTGGCAGCACTGGGAATAGCATATTGTGTAATCTTGTCTAGTAGCCTGTAGGGGAAATGAAAATGCATCATGACTTGCAGCCACTTACAAGACAAAGAGCAATTGTTATACTTAAAAAAAAAAAGACTCATATGTTTCCTCCAACCCCGCACAAAAATCTAAGACAAATAATTTTTATTTTGTATTAATGTACTTAATCTTACTTTGCATGATTACACCCTTATTGTCTTTCCATCATTGAAGAGCAAAGATCACTTAAAATCTGAACACCATATATGTTATTTTTTCTTCGTTTTATTTTAACATGGTTATACACAATATATCATGATTTCCAAAGAGTTAATACATCACTTAAATTCAGTTAATTAAAAATTATGTGCCCATGTTTTTTGTAATTGTGTATCTACTGTATTATATAATATTCTAGAAGATCTACACACATGCTTTAAAAAAACACACACTAACTCACTCACACACACACGCACACACACAGACCTTATATTTCTATTCCATTTGGTTTCATTGATTGATCTCACCATTATAGTGGGACCATTATAGTCACAGTTTTACTTTTCAGCTATTAGAGAGTTATATTTTATTTAACTCTTTAGCAGTATGAACTTCATCTCTCAATATCTTCTAAAAAGTACTTTGACTATCTTCCTGATATCAAGTTCCAAAATTATTAAACTTTTTAGATTACATTACTTGTGCATGTATAAGTATAATTTCATTGATATTTTTACAATATTTATTCTAATCTTAGAACATGATAGGCTTCTCTGCTAATTTTTTTATTATCCACATTATATTTTAGTAATTATTATTTGTACCAAAACACATACATAAATATTTTATATTTTCTTGTCACTGTGAATGAAGCTTTTTCTCTATTTCAGTTTTTTCTGGATACTGCAAATGCAAAAGTATTTATGTTTCTCTATGTTTCTGTATTACTTCTTCTCATTTACCTCATGAGTAAAATGAGGGTATTTTACTCATTTCTCATACCCTAAAATGACTTTTGTTTCCAGGTCATATTCTTAAATTTCCTAGATAATTACGTTAAGTGCAACACTTATAATTTTGTCATTTTCGGTCACTAATTCAGATTATTTAATTAAAGGAGTATATTAATTAGAACTACCAGTGCCTATAATTGTATTTCACATATAGTAGTTCATGATCTACACAAGATTGTCTAACACACTTACTTTATGTGTGTAGTCCCAGAATGAATGACGATTTATCACGTCTGTTCTATATATTTTATTTGCTTTTTCATCGTTATGAAGTCAAATTATTAAAGAATGCCTCTATTGTATTCTTGTTGGTTCCCCCTTTCATATATTTCATGCTCTTACTAAATATTTAAAGATTTATATTTAATTGATCTTCAGTATGCTTTAGATATTTCATCTATCAAAATGGTTTTATTTTCTCTGTATATTTAATTTTCTCAAATTATTTTCTATTTACTAATATTATAAATATTGCCTTTATTTTAACTATATCTTTTTAATTTTTATTGTATATATTCAAGGTGTACAGCTTGATGGTTTATATACACATACATAGTGAAGTGTCTACTACAGTCAAATAAATTAACATATCGATCATCTCACAAAATTAAATTTTTTTTACTTTCAAGCAAATTTCCTGTATACCATATTATTACCTACAATTCTCATGCTGTACATTCTAGCCTTGCTCATCTGAGATAATTGCGTATTTGTGCTTTTTGATATATCTCTCCTAATTTTCCCCACTCCTTCAAATTCTGGTAAAGCACCTTTCTATGCTCTTTGTTTTTATGTATTCATTTTTTTTTTAAGATTCCCCATGTAAGTTTGATCATGCAGTGTTTCTCTTTTTTATATGGCTTATGTCTTCTAGGAAATGTCCTCATAGTTCATTCATGTTGTCACAAATGGCAGGATTTCCTTTTTAAGGCTGAATAATATCTTAAGGTATAACTATGCCACAGCATCTTTATATCATGTATTTAAAAATCTATTTAGAGTAAAACCATCTGAGTTGTTTACTTAATGCTTATCTTTAAAGACCATATTTCTTGTTTAATGTTGTTTTTATACTCAGCTTAAATATCTTAATCATTTAATATGGAAATTACTCTATATGATACAGCAGTTCTGCAGTGTTCTTCTAAGTTCCTCTAGGCAGATTTAGCAGGTAGACTTCTAGTTTTAAGTTCTTGAATACTTTTTATTTTTTCTTTATTTTTTAAAATTATCTGTTTTTTCTTATTTATCCCTGTCTATTTTTTATCTCTCAATATATTTTTCAGAAAGTTCATGATTTTTTAATTTTTTTGAGACTATAAAAGTATCTAAGCATTTGGATTGCAGGAAAGATTTTTTTTAATCCTCAAAACCATGTTATTTGCATAATGAGATTTTTATTGCAACATTGTTTGTGTCTTAGCCAATTCATACCACTATAACAAAATACCTTAAAATGGGTAATTTATAAATAATAGAAGTTTATTTCTCATGGCTCTGGAGGCTGGGAAGTCCAAGGTCAAGGAGCCAGCAGATTCTGTCTGGTGAAGGCTCACTCTTTGCCGCCAAGATGACACCTTACTGCTGTGTTGTCACATGGCAGCACGTAGAAAGCCAAAAGGAGATAGAAGCTCTCTGAAGAGTCTTTTAAAAGCACATTACTACCATTCATGAGCACAAGGCCCTCATGATTACTTCCCATGGTCCCAACCTTCCAACACTATTACATTGGAGATTAAGATTCAACATTTGCAATTTGAGAAGACACATTCAGACCACAGCATTTCACCCCTGCCCTCCACTCCCCACAAATCCATGTCCTTGTTACCTGAAAAATACATTCATTTTATCTCAATAGCCCAAAATACTTCTCATTTCTAAGTCAGAAATTAATAAGACTCAAGGTACAATTGATTGATCCTGAGGCAAATTGGTCTCTAGCTGTGAATATATGAACTCAAACAAGTTACATGCTTACAAAATACAATGGTGAGACAGAGATAGGGTAAATATTCCTATCCAACAGGAAAATATAGAGAAGAAGAAAGGGATAATTAGCCCCAAGTAAGTCCAAAACTCAACAGAGCAAACCATTAAATATTGAGCCTTGAGGATAATCTTCTCTGACTTCATTTCCTGCCTTATGAACACACTGAAGCAGGAATTTGGGCCCCCAAGGCTCTCAGAGCCCAACTTTCACAACTTTGCAGGGCACAACCAAAATCACAGATCTCACACCTTGATTCTTGTTCCTGTAGCTCTCTCAGGCTATGGTTGCACACTGGTGGCTCTACCATTCTGCAGTCTTAGTAGTAGCCTCACTCCCATGGGTCCACTAGGCCTTGCCCTAGTGAAGCCTCTCTGCAGCAGCTTTGCCCCTGGGACAGTTCTCTTCCTGGGCCTTGAGTCTGTCCCAGGCATGTTTTGAAATCTAGGTAAGGGTAGCCATGCCTCTACAGCTCATACACTCTGCACACCTGCAGAGTTAGCACCATTTGGATGCCAACAAAGTTTACCACCAATTCATGTGTGGTCCGGAGAGATGGCCTGAGCGGCACTAGGGTCTGTGTAAGCCACACCTGGATCATCTGAGGAACGCTGCCAGAATGTGGGAAACACAATCTTCAGGTGGCCCTGGGCAGTGAGCCCCAAGGTCCTGTGTGTTCCTTGGGACCCTCCTTTGAAACCATTCTGCCCTCAAGGCTGTGGCACTCTGGGCCTATCATGGAATTGGCAGCCTCTAAGATCTCCAAATGCCTGTGGAGTCATTTTTTTTTTTTTTTTTTTGGTCTTAATGAATACCACCTGGTTTCTGCCCATCCATATGATTCTCCTTTATCAGTCACTTGGCCACACCCCTGGTGTTATCGCTTGAATACATTTTCTCATTTTCTAGAGGGTATGAATTTTCAACTCATTACATTCTGCTTCCCCTTTGATTATAAATTTCATTTTTATCCTTTTTTTCCTCTCCTCTTACGTTTTTCTATAAGCAGTCAAGTAAAGCCATGCTGCACTCTCAAAACTTTACTTAGATATTTCTTCTGCCAGCTATCCTAGTTGATTGCTTAAAGTTCCTTTTATTATTATTATACTTTAAGTTTTAGGGTACATGTGCACAATGTGCAGGTTAGTTACATATGTATACGTGTGCCATGTTGGTGTGCTGAACCCAGTAACTCGTCATTTAACATTACGTATATCTCCAAATGCTATCCCTCCCCCGTCCCCCCACCCCACAAAAGGCCCTGGTGTGTGATGTTCCCCTTCCTGTGTCCAAGTGTTCTCATTGTACAATTCCCACCTATGAGTGAGAACATGTGGTGTTTGTTTTTTTGTTCTTGCGATAGTTTGCTGAGAATGATGTTTTCCAGCTTCATCCATGTCCCTACAAAGGACATGAACTCATCTTTTTTATGGCTGCATAGTATTCCATGGTGTATATGTGCCATATTTTCTTAATCCAGTCTCTCATTGTTGGACATTAGTCTTGGTTCCAAGTCTTTGCTATTGCAAATAGTGCCGCAATAAACATACGTGTGCATGTGTCTTTATAGCAGCATGATTTATAATCCTTCGGGTATATACCCAGCAATGGGGTTGCTGGGTCAAATGGTATTTCTAGTTCTAGATCCCTGAGGAATGGCCACACTGACTTCCACAATGGTTGAACTAGTTTACCATCCCACCAACAGTGTAAAAGTGTTCCTATTTCTCCACATCCTCTCCAGCACCTGTTTTTTCCTGACTTTTTAATGATCGCCATTCTAACTGGTGTGAGATGGTATCTCATTGTGGTTTTGAATTGCATTTCTCTGATGGCCAGTGATGATGAACATTTTTTCATGTGTCTTTTGGCTGCATAAATGTCTTCTTTTGAGAAGTGTCTGTTCATATCATTCGCCCACTTGTTTATGGGGTTGTTTGTTTTTTTCTTGTAAATTTGTTTGAGTTCATTGTAGATTCTGGATATTAGCCCTTTGTCAGATGAGTAGGTTGCAAAAATTTTCTCCCATTCTGTAGGTTGCCTGTTCAGTCTGATGATAGTTTCTTCTGCTGTGCAGAAGCTCTTTAATTTAATTAGATCCCATTTGTCAATTTTGGCTTTTGTTGCCATTGTTTTTGGTGTTTTAGACATGAAGTCCTTGCCCATGCCTATGTCCTGAATGGTATTGCCTAGGTTTTCTTCCAGGGTTTTTATGGTTTTAGGTCTAACATTTAAGTCTTTAGTCCATCTTGAATTAATTTTTGTATAAGGTGTAAGGAAGGGATCCAGTTTCAGCTCTCTACATCTGGCTAGCCAGTTTTCCAAGCACCATTTATTAAATAGGGAATCCTTTCCCCATTTCTTGTTTTTGTCAGGTTTGTCAAAGATCAGATAGTTGTAGATATGTGGCATTATTTCCGAGGGCTCTGTTCTATTCCACTGGTCTATATCTCTGTTTTGGTAGCAGTACCATGCTGTTTTGGTTACTGTAGCCTTGTAGTGTAGTTTGAAGTTAGGTAGCGTGATGCCTCCAGCTTTGTTCTTTTGGCTTAGGATTGACATAACAATGTGGGCTCTTTTTTGGTTCCATATGAACTTTAAAGTAGTTTTTTCAATTCTGTGAAGAAAGTCATTGGTAGCTTGATGGGGATGGCATTGAATCTATAAATTACCTTGGGCAGTATGGCCATTTTCACGATATTGATTCTTCCTACCCATGAGCATGGAATGTTCTTCCATTTGTTTGTATCCTCTTTTATTTCATTGAGCAGTGGTTTGTGGTTCTCCTTGAAGAGGTCCTTCACATCCCTTGTCAGTTAGATTCCTAGGTATTTTATTCTCTTTGAAGCAATTGTGAATGGGAGTTCACTCATGATTTGGCTCTCTGATTGTCTGTTATTTGTGTGTAAGAATGCTTGTGGTTTTTGCACATTGATTTTGTATCCTGAGACTTTGCTGAAGTTGCCTATCGGCTTAAGGAGATTTTGGGCTGAGACAATGGGGTTTTCTAGATATACAATCATGTCATCTGCAAACAGGGACAATTTGACTTCCTCTTTTCCTAATTGAATACCCTTTATTTCCTTCTCCTGCCTAATTGCCCTGGCCAGAACTTCCAACACTATCAATACTATGTTGAATACGAGTGATTAGAGAGGGCATCCCTGTCTTGTGCCAGTTTTCAAAGGGAATGCTTCCAGTTTTTGCCCATTCAGTATGATATTGGCTGTGGGTTTGTCATAGATAGCTCTTATTATTTTGAGATACGTCCCATCAATACCTAATTTATTAAGAGTTTTTAGCATGAAGTGTTGTTGAATTTTGTCAAAGGCCTTTTCTGCATCTATTGAGATAATCACATGGCTTTTGTCATTGATTCTGTTTATATGCTGGATTATGTTTATTGATTTGCATATGTTGAACCAGCCTTGCATCCCAGGGATGAAGCCCACTTGATCATGGTAGATAAGCTTTTTGATGTGCTGCTGGATTCGGTTTGCCAGTATTTTATTGAGGATTTTTGCTTCGATGTTCATCAGGGATATTGGTCTAAATTCTCTAGACCACTAGCAAGACGAATAAAGAAGAAAAGAGAGAAGAATCAAACAGACACAATAAAAAATGATAAAGGGGTATCACCACCGATCCCACAGAAATACAAACTACCATCAGAGAATACTACAAACACCTCTACGCAAATAAACTAGAAAATCTAGAAGAAATGGATAAATTCCTCGACACATACACCCTCCCAAGACTAAACCAGGAAGAAGTTGAATCTCTGAATAGACCAACAACAGGCTCTGAAATTGAGGCAATAATTAATAGCTTACCAACCAAAAAAAGTCCAGGACCAGATGGATTCACAGCCGAATTCTACCAGAGGTACAAGGAGGAGCTGGTACCATTCCTTCTGAAACTATTCCAATCAATAGAAAAAGAGGGAATCCTCCCTAACTCATTTTATGAGGCCAGCATCATCCTGATACCAAAGCCTGGCAGAGACACAACAAAAAAAGATTGCTCAGAGTTCTGTCTTCCATAAAGCACTAGGAGAGGGACACAATTTAGCCAAGTGCTGTCACTTTATAACAAGGATGACATTTCTTTGAGTTTTCAATATCTTGTTCTCCACTTCCATCTGAGACCTCATCAAAATGGCCTTTACTGTCCATATTTCTACCAGTATTCTCATCACAACCACTTAAGTAATCTCTGAGAAGATTCAGACTTTCCCTACAGCTCTCTTCTGCTTCTGAGCCATCACAAGAATTGCCCTTAATGGTGCATTCATGGAAATGTAGGCTTTCTCTAGCATTCACTTCCCAACTCTTTTAGCTTCTACCCACTGCCCAGTTCCAAAGCTGCTTCCACATTTTTAAGTACTTGTTCTAATACCCTACTTCTCTTTACCAATTTTGTCACAATTTGTTGATACTGCTATAACAATATATAACACTTGGTAACTTATAAGTAATAGAAATGTATTTCTCACAGTTTTGGAAACTGGGAAGTCAAAAATCCAGGTGATGGAAGATTGGCGTCTGGAGAAGGCTTCTCGCTGCATCATCTTGGAGTGAAGATGAGGCCAGTGAAGGAGCAAAAGGCATTAACAGCTCTCTGAAACGTCTTTTATAAGGGTGTTAATCCTTATGTACGAATTAATTACCTCCCAGATGTCCAACTTTGTACTAATCAAATTGGTAATTTAGTTTCAACATATGAATGTTTTGGGGGGGACACATTTAGATCATAATAATATGTAATAGATTACTGTAAACAATGGATACATACCTCGGTAAGGGCTGAAATAAATAAATTATGGTGATACCCACTCAATGAAATATTATGTATATGATAAAATAATGAGCTATGTGTTAATATGCAAAAAACCCTTAAGATATTATTAAAGAGGAAAGATTCAGAGGAATGTGCATAGAATATTCTCATTTATGCAGTAAATTGATATAAGTGGATATTCTTGTGCACTTAAAAATCTAAAAAAATACAGTAAATAGTAATAGTGGTTATATCGCAAAAAGGATACCAGATGACAACCGAAATGTATTTTTAATTTACATCTTTATTATTGTGGGAATAGGTATTATTATAAGCAGATATTTTAAAAATAAAAGCATATATATGACATATTCTCATAGTGATATAAGCAATATGTATTATATATTATGTAACATAAATCATTTAATAAAATATATAATATTTATAGTATCTATTCCATTTACTTTTTTGGAATACATGCATAAGCTTTATTTTTTGGACAAATTTATCAAATTATAGCTTTGAGTTAAGTATGGCCTAATATTTGCTAAAAGTTAAATGTATTGAATGTCTAAAGTCCACTGAACACTGTATATACATGCCACTAGAAACCATCTCTCTAATAATCACTGTTATTTGTCAGAATTTTATAGAGTAAGTCCAAATGCTCAGAAAACTAACAATTATATAGGCAGGATCACCGAAATGATGCACAATCATACAATTAAAATGTACTCTGATTAGGTTACCTAGTTTTACTTTTCGAGCATTCAGTGTTTACCTTCATCATTTTTCATCTTCTGAAATTAATAGAATGTTATTATAAAAAACTGAAACATTAAAACCTGAAAGTAAGGACTTGCTGCTGGGATAAAACCTTGACCTTGACTCAGTATGTATTTATGTATGTATTTATTTATTTATTTTATTTTGAAACAAAGTCTCACTCTTTCACCCAGGCTGGAGTACAGTGGCACGATCTAGGCTCACTGCAACCTCCGCTTCCCAGGCTCAAGAGATTCTCGTGCCTCAGCCTCTTGAGTAACTGGGATTACTCGCGTGCGCCGCTACAACTGGTGGCTAATTTTTGTATTTTTAGTAGAGATGGGGTTTCGCTATGTTGGCCAGGCTGGTCTCAAATTCCTGACTTCAAGTGATCCCGGCGCCTCCACCTCCCAGAGTGCTGGGATTACAGGCGTGAGCCACCATGTCCGACCATGACTCAGGATTCATAATCATTGTCAGATCTCTCTTAAAAGATGAATAGCAGCCAGGATGACAAAAAGAACAGAATAAATACAGACAACGGCTTGCAGCAAATTAAGTGACAAGGTATGAGCGTGCACTTTGGTATATGAGACTAAACATCCACTACCACAAAACCTGCAGCCTCTGTGTGCAAGTACCAGCTGTACTGAAATAGTGGAAGTGGGCAGAAAAGGAAGTTCTGAGGATCCTCACGGCCAAATAACACAGAAGTAGACATAAATACTCATCTGGAGGGAGAGTAAAACCCACTGACTGCAAGGAGGTCTGAAGAAAGCCTGGGAGATTAATAATAGAGGACTACACAGGTTCCAATTTGCATAGGCAATCCAAAACAACCAGCAGCACCCACTAGATCAGAGAGCTATGGGGGTAGCCTAGGCCCTCAGGACCTCAGAAATAAAATAAAAGTTATTTTAAAATCTTCTAAAACATGGAGATGAATTCAAAGTTTGAAGAATTGTTATTAAGCAGAGTCAGCCCAGGTTAAAGGAAAGAAAAGATTCAGATACAGCCAAAGAACCAGGACCAGGGGCAGTAGAGGGCAGATCACAAACTGTTATTTGGAACTCCTTAAATTACGCGTGTGTGTTTACTCATATTGTAAGTATACAGATCAATTAATATCACAAATTAAACACATCTGCTGCTATGGGCTAAATTGTGTTTCCCCACAATTCATATGTTGAAGTTCTAACACCTAGTATCTGAGACAGTAGCTGTATTTAGAGATAGGCTCTTTAAAGAAGCAATTTAGTTAAAATCAGGTTATTAGCAGAGCCGTAATTTCATCTGGTTGAGATCCATATAAAAGAATAGGTCACGGACTGGTACAGAGTGAACAACCAAGGAGGAGAAGACCGTTATCTACAAGCCAAGGAGAAAGGCCTCAGAAGAAACCAACCCTGCTTGGGCTTATCCAGAAGTTGGAAGAATATAAATTTCTGTTGTTTGAGCCACCTAGTCTGTGGTATTTATTATGACATTGCAAGTAAACTAATATACCTGTATAATCAGCACCACAATACACAATAACAACAGAGTATTAAGAACTATGAGGCTGTGGATGGTAGATAAGAAAGATGGTTTTGAACTTTTGCATTGGGTGTATGCATTTGTGTATAATACCTAGCTCATTGATGTGTATCAATATCAGGTTCAGTATCAATATCAACTATGTGTGCTTGTGTGCATGTGTATATTTTCATGAAAAAATACGATGTAATAATTCAGTGTCAAAAAATTCAGTAGAATATACCTTTAGACAAGTGCACATGTATGCAAATATCCATAGAATAATATAGTCAAAACAGCCAAAAAAACTTTGTGTTTAGTCGTAGACTAACAGGAAACATTGGAAAATAAGAAAATTATACATATTTTTAAATACCTAATATGATTTTTTAAACTGGGGGAACATGCACTTTATTCCTGTTTATTATCTCTGGTTCTATATAACTGAGTTGATTTTTTTCACAACTTATAGAAAAATCATACATTGTTCAATAGAAATATATAAAAGCAAACTGAGTAATTTAAAATGCTTTAGGATGCTTGATAATACAAATAAAAAACAAAACAAAAACACTTCAAATAATAATAGCTATAAGATGAATATTTAATTTTTCTGATATAGAAAAATAATATTTCTAATTTTGTATTCATTGTCATTGATAATTTCTTAAATATTCATAGTTTAATTATACATTCTTTAAGTTATTCTAGTTTTACTGAGTGGAAAACATAATACTGTAAAGATATCAATTTCCTCCTAGGTGATTTATAGTTTCATTGTAATCAAAAGCTGTAAGTAGGTTTTTGTGGATATTGGCAAGCTGTTTGTTGATTTTCTGTCAAAAAGCAAAATACTATAAAGAGTCGAGGTAACCATAAAAAGGAATGAAAGCTTTAGGATTTATACTAACACATATCAAGATTTATTATCAAGCAAGTAAAATTAGGGCAGTGTGAAATTTGCATTAACTATATAGACAAATGGAGTGATGATGCAGAATAGAGAATCTGGACAGATAGCTACTAATACATGGATCCTTGACTTTTGAGAGACTTGCCAATGCAATTCAATGGGAAATAAAATGGACTTTTCTTTCATAAGTAGTGCTAGCTCAATTTGGATTTTATCGTGAAAATAATGAATTTGATTCTCTAAGTAACAGGATATAGAAAAATCAATTTCAAATGGATTGCAGATCTACATGTGAGAGTTATAACAACAAGTACATTTTTGACTAAGAGTAGGAAACATATCTTCAAGAAGATGAGAAGTAGTTGAAAAATTAGAAAAAAATAATGTGTACCCTATTAAAGTTAAGAACATCAAAATATACCATTAATAGGGCACATATATAAACTACATACTGGGATAAAATATTTGCAACATATAATTTACAAAGGACTGATATTCAGAATATATAGTGTTCATATATCAAAGAATAAATAATAGACAATATAATCAGAAAATGGTAAAAAAAGAAAACTTTGTCACTTCACAAAAGATATCTGGATATCAAATAAGCATTTAAAATGATAATCAGCATTCATACTTAGTAAAATGCAACTTAAATCAACAATGGGGTATCAATATATTCCCACCATGCTGACTAAAATAAAATAAAAAAAAATCCTGATTATTCTGTCCTCTGTATTAGAATTATATATATCTATGGTCCTTGCCATACGATTGTTGCCATACCTTAACATTAGAGTAGGCAGAGTATTATAAACTTTAGACAATTGATTTTTGACCTGTGCATATGACTTGCTTTTGCCAACAGAATGTGGGCAAAAGTGACAATCTGGGCAGAAGCCTTAAAGGATATTGCAAAGTTCTTACCTGCTGCTCTTGTCATTTTTTATAAGAAAACTATGCCCTGGACCAAGGAAAATGAAGACATACAAAGCAAACCTGAACCAAACCTTCAGCCTGAAGCAGAGCCTCACCAATCGATACGCAGATTTGTAAGAGGAGCAAATGTTTGTCTTATAAACCACTGAAAATATGAAGCAATATCTGCATTATGAGAATTGGTGATGCTGAAGAACATTAGGAACTCTAATTCATTACTGGTGGGAGACGAAATTGTTCTAGCAACTTTAGAAACTATTTGCTGACAGATTGATAGATAGATACATTCATACATACATATATAGGTAGATAGATAGATAAATACATGCATACATACATACACAGATCCTAAAATTCAAAATAATGAATTTCTGGTAAGAAACCTAACAAAAATATGCCCATATGTGCACTAAAAGATAGGACTAAGAGGTTAAACAATAATACCTTTCTAATAGACAAAGCCTGAAAACAAACTAGATGTTCAGTAATAGTAAAATGGATAAAGAAATCATGGTATATTTATTCAATGAGAAAATCTCCAAAAATAAAAATAAAGTACCTAATGTGGCATGTAATAAAATAAATCTTCAATATAATGTTGAATAAAAGAAGCCTAACCTAAGAGAGCCCATATGATGATTCTATTTACATGTATTTAAAACCAGCCCAGATTAATCTGTAATGATGGAAGGAAAGATCATGGTTGCATTTAGAGGTGAGGTAATAAGTGGACAGGAACATGAAGTCCTCCTTCTATCTATATGGTGACTATCATATTCTCTTTCTTCATGTGGATGGGAGTTACATAGGTTTGTTTACTAGGTATAAATTTGATGAGCTGAAACTTTATGCTTTGCATCTTTTTATATGTATATTACTTTTTAAAAGTCTACTAAGAAGAGATTCAGCCTTTAGAGTCATTCTGCTTGTTTTTTTTAAAAGAGGTTTTATGACTGTATATAATGGCTGAATGTTCAATATTCAGATACTTTCTTTTAAATCCAAAAGACATTTGGGGGGAGAGAGAGAGAGAGAGAGAGTGTGTGTGTGTGTGCATGCGCATGTATGTGTCCATACTGTTTTTGTCATTAACCATAACCATACAGCAAGTATGGGATTGGATTGAAACAGGCCAGGTTCAAAATGTAAACCGTCCATACATATCGTTAAGTTTAACGTGGTTCTAGTTGACAGGATAAAGTCTTTATTCATTCCATCTTCTGCCCTCTCTCAACTGTCGCATCATAAGCACATC
The DNA here is from genome assembly GCF_000001405.40 of Homo sapiens. Classification (NCBI taxonomy): domain Eukaryota; kingdom Metazoa; phylum Chordata; class Mammalia; order Primates; family Hominidae; genus Homo; species Homo sapiens. The sequence continues at coordinate 102,688,004 of NC_000009.12, read as the reverse complement.
CTAGAGATAGCAGCGTTCCCCTCTTTACACTGTGCATGCTTCCTCTGCCATGCCTGATACTGCACATCGTATTAGAGTTCTGCTTTGTTGTTTCAAAGGAAAGGAAATCACAATCTTATGAGTGTTAGCCATTGAGTACTTAATGTGCTCCTGCCTACCACATTATCCGAAACCACAATTCCAGGCTTGCACAGAGGGATTTCTACAGTAGAATGACATATAAATCAACCCAACATTGTTTCCACTATGTTGTTTTCTCCTTGGGGTCAACATTGAGCAATTTTAAAACTCACCGAACCCAAATAGAGACAAATCACAGTGATGATAGTGTTTATAATAAGTATTTATCACTTCTTATAGTTGAATTTTTTTTTTTTTTTTTTTTTTTTTGAGACAGAGTCTCGCTTTTTCTCCCAGGCTGGACTGCAGTGGTGCTGTCTCGGCTCACTGCAAGCTCTGCCTCCTGGGTTCACGCCATTTTCCTGCCTCAGCCTCCCGAGTAGCTGGGACTACAGGCGCCTGCCACCGTGCCTGGCTAATTTTTTGTATTTTTAGTAGAGACGGGTTTTGACCGTGTTAGTCAGGATGGTCTCGATCTCCTGACCTCGTGATCCGCCGGCCTTGGCCTCCCAAAGTGCTGGGATTATAGTTGTGAGCCACCGCGCCTGGCCCATAGTTGGATTTTTAAAAGCTGTCTTCTTCAATCAACCAAGAGTAACCCTCAGAACACTTCGCTTCAATTTTCAGATTTTATTGTCTTCTCATAAGAAATAATAGTATAGTTGTTTCCCCTTATCTATGGAGAAAATGTTCCAGCCCCCCAGTGAATGCCTGAACTTGCATATAGCACCAAATTCTATATATACTATATTTTTTCATCAACCGTACATATCTATGATAAAGTTTCACTTTTCACTTAAGGTGGTGACCACACCACTGCACTCCAGCCTAGGAGTCAGAGCAAGACCTGGTCTCAAATAAATAAATAAATAAATAAATAAATAAATAAATAAAAAGCCAGCAGCTTTTTACAGAAACTTGGCAATTTTACAGAAACTTTTGCAAATTCAAATTGCCAGCATCACTACTCTTGCACTTGGGGCCCTTATTAAGTAAAATAAGAGTAACTTGAACACACAGTTGTGATATCACAACAGTCTATGTGATAGCCAAGGGAGCTACTAAGTGACTAGTGGGTGGTTAATACAGCGTCGATATGCTAGATGAAGGGATAATTCATGTTCTCAGTGGGAGAGTGCAAGACAATGTGAGATTTCATGATATTCAGAAGGATGCACAATTTAAAACTTACAAATTGTTTGTTTCTGAAATTTTCCTGTTAGTATTTTTGGACCACAGTTGACCACACATAACTGAAACTATGGAAAATAAAATTGTGCCTAAGTGAGGGACTATTGCTTTACATACATCATATGCATAATATTTCCAACTTTACTGTGTACTTTTAAAAATACAATATGCATTTCCCTCAAGTTTCTGCTAATTTGATTTAAGACTTGTCAAAAAGGAAGTATTGATTCTACAAAAATCAAGCACAATATTCTATTTCTTTTGTTTTTTCTTTCTATTCATTTTTTTGCTGCAAAAGTTTCACCTGAAGATTCGTAGTTCTTTTTGTTTACTGAAATAGGGGAACCTGAAATGACAACAACAAAACCTTTAATAAGCATGAACAATCTCATACATTTTTACAATAAGCTTATTTTAATTCTTATGGTAATCTTCTGTGGCAGTAAGTACTTCATCCATCTCATAAGCATAGAAACAGACTCTGGAAGTAATATGGCATATAGAAAAATGTACTTATTTTGGAGAGAAATAATTTAATACAATATTTAGCTCCCTCATATATGATATTTATAATTTAGGAGAGATCATTTATCCAGTCATAAATTCAGTTAAATATGCATATTCTTACCTAATAAGAATACTTAAATTATGTATTTCTTTTAATAATCAAAGAAGGTAGCATAAAGACTACCACACAGTGAAACCTCAACAAATACTAGACACATTCCCTCCCAACTTCAGAGAGATTAATAATTTTTATAAAGTAAAAATCTAGTTGGTGGTAAACCATGCTTCAAATTCAAATATGTCAGGCTCCAAAGCTTCTAATTTCCATTCTTTAGACAGAGGGAGTTTATGAAAATATTTTAACACTCTGGAAAACAGGCCAGATTTTCTGCCAAAAACTCTAGATGTGGTAATCAGATTTTATACAACAATATGTTATCTCCCGTGATTTTATGAATAAAAATGCTAAAAAATATTGCTACAATTATCCAGCCAGGCCTTAAGTTGATATGTGTTCAAACTAAGATTATATATAACAAATTTGTCATTCACATGACCAAAACCATTAAATTACCATTGAGTTTATTGTAGAAAGAGATTCAGGACATCAGTTGATCTGATATTGTATATTATCTAAAGCTGTCTGGAAGACACCAGATTCATTTGTCTACCAAATAACATATCCCATGTCTATTATCGCTAAAGTGTATGTATATATTGTAATTGATCATATCCAAACATTTTTTAAGTATACAAAATCCAAACAGCCTTTACTCTTATGCATTTTCTCAATGGAAGCATAACAAAAGTACAGTTATCATCACATAGAATCACAAACAATTTATTATTAAAACAATAATCTAAACATTCTGCTTCCATTTTATCTGATATAATAATATCAGATCAAACTCTCCACCAGTAATAACTATAAATTCTAAACAACAGAACAAGACATAAACCTACTTGAAGACACTGAAGAATGAACAAAAACAGGAAGAACTGACAATTGGAAGAAACAACAAAAAAAACACTGGGTATGTTTTCAACATTTTAATCTGAGAATAGGTCCCTACCTGTGCCATGTGAAACAACTAAAATTCAAAGAAAAACCTTCAGTTTTAGTGGCTTGAATATCCTGAGGATAGACTTCATGGAAACAATAACTATTGAATATTGAGGTGGGAAACTCTAGAAGAAAGTGTAAGAGAAAGAGAGAGGGACAGAATTAGAGAGTGGGAACTGAAATTAAATGTATAAACTCTGTCCAAATATCTGCTGAAATGTGACCCATGATTTCATGGGGCAAACTCCAAGCAGCAATTTACAACAAATATCTAGTGCAATGTTTCTTTTACACTTTCTATATTGCAGGTTTGCTCTGAGGATGAAATAAGCTAAAAACTTTAAAAAAATATTTAAATGTATGGATCACATAATTAGTCTCGTGAAGAAATTATGGTGAAGAAGAGAAAATAAAACAACATAGAAAAAACAAAAAGAAGAGAAAAATAGGAGGATGAAGATAAGAAAAAAGGAAAGGGGAAGAGGAGAAAGAAAAATAAAAAAAATTAACTTTTTGGCAAGTGTTTAGAACTCTTGCCTTTAATGATAAGACGAATATAAACTTCCTTTAATTTTCATTTTAAACTTGGCTTTTGAGTGTTTCATTAAGCAGCTTCTGTATTTGTAGAAGACAGCATACAAATTGGATTATTGGGAACATAATTTGAAATTAAAGACTGAATTGTGCCCTCCCCTACTGTTAGCTGGAGCCCTGAGCCTGGTATCTTAGAATTTGACTGTCTTTGGAGGTAGAGTCTTTAAAGCGGTAACTGAGTTAAAATGAGATTATTAGGGTGCGGTCCAATGCAATCTGATGGCTGTCCTATAAGAAAAGATTAGGATATACCATGTGAGGACACAGGTAGGAAGCAAGTGGTCATCTGTAAACCAAAGAAAGAGGTCTTAGGAAAAACCAAACCTGCCAACACCTTGACTTTGCACCTGAAGTTTCCAGAACTGTGAGAAATAAATTTCTGGTTTTTAAGCCACCTAGTCTATAGTATTTGTTATGGTAGCCTTAGCAAACTAACATACTTCGGTTCAAATCTGTTTCCTGATATTTACTAACTGTATTAGTAAAGTTAGTTATACTCTCTAACCCTGTTTCTCCTGAAAAATAAAAAAAATCTTTTATCATATTAAAGTACTAATTAAATTAGATAGCTTGTGGTGAGATGATAATGATTACTAACATTATTAATTTTAACATTTAAAATGTTAGTATTTTGAATATATAAGTAAGGGGAGAAAATCCCAGGTTAAAAAATGGCTCTAAGTTACAAAAGTAGTACTTATCAAGCTAATAGTTAAATCCAATTCTGTTTGATGCCAAAGCCTATGACCTTTATACAGAAACAACTTTCAGACATAATAATTATAAATGTATTATTTTATCTTATGTTTTTTACATGAAGGGAAAAATCATTTTTTAAATTTCAAAAACAATTTCAAATTTTGAACAAAGTGCTTCTCTAAACCATGCAAGCTGTATGATGAAATTAATTATTTTCATTTGCACATGAAAAGAATATTCTGTTTTCTAAAGAGGTTATCAACGGATCAAGATACTTTTCCATATTGTCAAATCTACCTACAATTTCAGTGAGGAAATCTGAATAGTGCTATTATTATAAACTAAAAAATTAATTTTATAATTGATAATTATACAAAGACAAAGACGTTTATAATAAAAGAAAATTTATTTTACAATCTTTTAGAAGGAACTCAATGAAAAATAGTTGATGAGAATCCCGGCACTTTGGGAGACCAAAGCAGGAGGAATGCTTGAGGCCAGGAGTTCAAGATTACAATGAGTTATGATTGTGCGACCGCACTCCAGCCTGCGTGACACAGCAAGACTCTGTATCCAAAAAGTAATAATAATAATTAAATTGAAAATTAAAAGAAAGGAAGAAACAATGAGACCACTAAAAAATCCGCACTGAGTTGAGTGAAATCAGACCCATGTTAGCATGTAGGATTCTTGGGCTCTGGAGTGAGATGGACCTAAAGCAGAGCTACTGTTTTAACTGGCTCTGTAACACTGTGTATATTACATCAATTCGCTATGACTCTGGTGTCTTACATGCCAAATGAAAGTCATTAAGAACAGTATATACATCATAGGACTAGTGCAAAATTATGTGAAATAATCCTTGTAGGCATTTAGCAGAGACCTGGGTATTTTGAAAAACTGGTTCTAGTTGCTGTGCAGAGGCAGAGAAATATCAGGATTAGAATTCTTTATGCTAGTTTACATACTGCAGTTTACCAAGTCATTAATCATAGCACTGCCTCAGTTCTAATCAGTATAAGCCCAACAGCAATACTAGAGTTATATGAATCGATGCCACCTGGTAGAAAACATGTCTTCAAAAGTGATCCACTGAATAGGCCTGTAATATACCCATGACATATGTTCAATTCATCATTTTACCCAGAGTAAAATAATTATACATTGTCAAGTTTTCGCTTATTTATTCAGAAAATTGAGTAGGAAGAGAAGATATTTTTAAATAAATCATTATTTCTTCTATGCTAGATCTCTTGCATAGTTCATTTTATTTAACCTTTTTGATATCTCAAAGTAAGCTCTAAGTCTTGGGTTAGGAACTCTCTTATTATAGTAATTAGTAGATTAAAATGAATTGTCATTTTCCCACAAATTTGCATTTATACATCTTGCTTTTGACTCTAGGAAGCTGTATGTATACATGCTTTGCTCAGTGGGTACTTATAATCAAGATATAAGTTTCTTAGTTTTGAGGTAACAAATGAATCTTTGTTTTTTTAACATTTATTGTAACATAATTAATATACAAAAATTGCACAGATTTAACTTACACATTCTGAGTTTTCACCTATGCATACACCTAAGGTATCATCACCACAATGAAGGTAATAAATATGTCCATCACTTCCAAAAATTTATTTGTGGTCTTATGTGTGTGGAGCAGGCGTTTGATTTGGGGGGTTTTAATTTTTGTTGTTGTTGTTAGTAAGGACACTTAACAAAAGATCCATTCTCAACATTTTTAAAAGTATACAATATTGTATTATTGACTATTGGTACTATATCATATCTCTAGAATGTATTCATTTTGCATAACTGAAACTTTATACCCATTGAGCCACAATCCCCCATTTCCCTCTCATTCCCCCCAGCCCCTGACAATTGCCTTATATTCTCTGATGTTATGAGTTTGACTACTTTAGATACCTCATATAAGTAAAGTCATGCAGTATTTGTTCACCTGTGGCCAGTTTATTTCACTTATCATAATGTACTTTAGGTTTATCCATGTGGATACAAATTATAGGATTTCCTCTTTTAAGGATAAACAGAACTCCAATGTATTCCAAATGTATCACATTTTCTTTACCCATTGATCTGTTGATGGGCACTTAGGTTGATTTTTTTATCTTGGCTATTGTGAGTTATGCTACATAAACATGGTGAGGCTGATAACTCTTTGAGACCTTTATTTCTATTCTTTTGGATATATACCCAGAAGTGGGATTGCTGGGTAAGTGGTAGGTCTATTTTGAACTTTTTGAGGAACTTTCCTATTGTTTTTTATAGTGACTGTACCATTCTACATTTCCACCAACAGTACATAAGTGTTTCCTTTTGTCCACATCCTCACCAACAGTTGTTTCTTTTTTTTTTTTTTCTCTTAATAATAGCCATGCTAGTAGGAGTGATTGGATATCTCATTGTGATTATGATCTGCATTTCCCGGATGATTAGTGATATTGAGCATCCTTTCATATAACTTTAGGCTATTTATATGTTTTCTTTGGAGATATGTCGATTCAAGTCTTTTGTCTATTTGTTAAAATTAGGTCATTTGGCTTTTGTTCTGTTTTGTTTTCCATTTTGGTGTAGTTTCCTGAGTTGTAGAAGATCCTTATGTATTTTGAACACTAACTCCTTTTCAGATAGATAATTCACAAATGGCTGGTCTTGGTGGCTCATGCCTGTAATCTTAGAGCTTTGGAAAGTGAAGCCAAGTGGCTCTCTTGAGCCCAGGAGGTCAAGACCAGCCTGGGCAACATGTTGAAAACCCTGTCCCTACAAAAAGTTGAAAAATTAGCCAGGCGTGGTGGTGTTCCCCTGTAGTCCCAGCTACTCTGGTATTCATGGCTGAGGTGGAAAAATCAACTCAGCCTGGAGGTCGAGGCTGCAGTGAGCTGTGATCATGTCACTGACCTCCAGCCTGGGTGACAGAGTTAGACCCTGTCTCGAAAAAAATAAAAAAGATAATTCACAGACATTTTCTTCCATTCCACAGGTTGCCTTTTCAGCTTGTTGATAGTTTCTTTTGCTTTGCAGAAGATTTTTAGTTTGATGTAGTTCCATCTATTTTTTTTTTTTGCTTTTGTTGCCTGTGCTTTGAGTGTCAAATCCAAGAAATTATTGCCAAGAACAATGGCAAGAAGATTTTCCTCTGTTTTCATGGAGGAGTTTTACAATTTCAAGTCTTACATTTAAGTTGTGAATTCATAACAGAAGGCAAACATTTCCCAAGGTTCTGAGTGCACTCAGTTCCTTCCCTCCTGAGAAGCTGGCCCAAATCTAAATTTTTTTCTTTTTAAATATTCTCTAAAACAGAGTCATATGACTAGCAAACAAGGATTATTAAAGGCCATTGTTACCATGTAATTCAGATACCTTTACTTCCTGCTTGGTTTTGCACAAAATACCCATGATCACTCATCTTTTCTGTGTTGTTATTGTTTACTTTGCTGAGGACGGTCAGCTTTTTGTCCACTTTCTCTTCTATGGCCTACCATAGTGATAACATGCAGATTTACCACATAGACTGTAATTTTTTACATATGGGTACCTCAGTGCAGCAGAAAGAAACTTCATTGTCATTCTTCTTAGAAGACAACACAAAAACAGAATCAGCAGGAAAACATCCATGTTCAGCAGCTTGTGCCTTCCTGCACTGAGACTTTAAACTGAGAATGCTGAGGATAGGATGATTTAGGAAAATAAAATATTCAAACTGGGTGACCGAACTTCAGAAATGTAATATTTTGCCAATTCATTTTAAGGAAAAAAAGAAAAAAACATAAATCCAAGTACACAAAAAACACCTATACGTAGACTACAGGTTCTTACACAGTTACTATATGCAACACTGGCTTGCCTATTAGCTTCCTGGCATTTTGATCGAAATAATTTTGCATTTGGATAAAGTTAAAATATCTCTACTCTTACATCTTTATGTTACCCACACAATGAGTGGTTTGACCACTTGGCAGATGACAGTTTAATGGTCAGAATCAAAGAGTGTTTAACAATTTGCAGCAAGTAAGGAAGATTGTGGGGATAGTTCCCAAAGCAGCATCTCCCCAAACACATGTGAAAACAGGGCTTTTATTGGGAGTGGAGAGTAGCTGAGTCATATATGCAGAGGTGGAGTAAAGACAGTGCAGGCACAGTTGCTGATCGTACTTCTATATACCTCACATGGGTAGAAAATGGTAAATAACATCTTCCCTGGGTGGGGATTTTGGTATTGTAATGAGAAGAGTTCCCCAAAATTCAGCTCCAACTCAGGCATTTTGGATTTTCTTTTTCTGGAACTGAGCTTCTTCCTGGAATCATTTTGAAATATTAATAACACGAATTTAAGGTGCAACAGTTGCAAGTGAGCACTTTTTTACGCAGGGACCCTGGATTGCTTTTACAAATGAAAAAAATGGCATATCTTTGTATTTATGCTAAGGAAAAAATTGAATAATGAGAAAAAATTAAAATAATAAAGATGTTCAGAAATGAATGGACAGTTATTCTGATGCACTGGTGAATAGAATTAAATTAGTGCAATATTTCTGCAAGAAAATTTGGCAAGATCTACAGAAAATTTAAATTATCTTAAATTTTCAAACTCTACTTTTAGAAAAATAATGTAGGAAGGCTGTTAATCACAAGGAAATGTAGATAGGTGATAGATAGATAATAGAGACAGAGATAGAGAGATAGATAGGATAGAGACAATACCTACAGTAATAGCCTAGAATTACTGAGTATTTACTAAAAGCAAAACATTCCTGGTTTGCTGTTTATCTTCCTCATTAAATACTCAGAGTATTTTGTTTTACAAGAACGCGATTACTATGACTGGTATCCCATGTGATGTGACTTCAGACCCAGTTTCTTAATGGCATCACATATTTAGTGAAAATTAGAAGAAAAATGGGTGAATATATAAAGTATTAGACAATCATAAAATGTAATAGCATAAAACCATTTAAATTATATAAAGGAGATATAGCCCTAGATGTTCAGAATATATTTTCCAATAAGACCACTGTTATAAAACTGTACATGAAATTTTATTTCATAATACCTATGTGTATATGAATATGTATGTGCCTATGCATGCATACATAGGCACAAATTTTTTGTGCGTGCATATATACGTATACATATATGTGGATATATTTATGAATATGGGTTTATACCTACATGTGAATGTGTGCACATGTGCATGTCCCAAAGTGTACAGCGTATGTACATTCATGTGCATTCACACATAAATAGGCTTACATGAAAAACTTATCCACCACAATAAAGTATGCTTTATCCCTGGGATGCAAATTTGGTTCAACATACACAAATCGATAAATGTGATTCATGACAGAAATGGAACTAAAGACGAACATCATATGATTATCTCCATAGACACAGAAAAGGCTTTTGATAAAATTCAATACCCCTTCATGTTAAAACCGCTCAAAATGGAAGGACTGAATTCTCATTCACAACTGCAACAAAAAGAATAAAATATCTAGTATTATAGCTAACCAGGGAGATGAAATATCTCTACAAGGAGAACTACAAACCACTGCTCAAATAAATCAGGATGACATAAAAAAATGGGAAAACATATAACTGATTTTATTGGATATTTAGAAAATAAGTAGTATCTGCAAATACTGAACATTATAGCATTTTTCTTTTCATTATTTTAATTTTTTAATTTTACTATTATATTTCATTGGCTAGAAACAAAATAGAAATATAAAATTAATGCCTAAATTCATTATTTATACTTGATCTTAATAGAATTGTTTTAAATGCTTCTTTGGTAATATATGATGCAGAGATCAAATAGGTATTCTTTACCAAAACAAAGGATTTTTTATCAGTGTTTCATGAAAGAAAATTTTATTGGCAATATGTTGGACCTAAAGCTAAACCAAATCCTATGCTTTTAAGCTATGCAAAAAAATAGATGCCTTTGTTTGCATAGATTGGTTTGAGATAGATTGTCCGTCACTTGCAACAGTAAGAGTCAAATGAAACATCATCATTTCTTTTCCTTAAATCTATCATAATTATCAATTTTACTTTATCTTTGCTTTCTGAAAAAGTGATCAAATATGTTAATCCTTCCTTCATGGTTTTCAACATGAATTTAAATTTAAAGTGATTATTTTAATTGTTTACAATTATTTATTATCACATCATCTGTTATATATCACTTTGCATCCTGTTTTTTGTCACTTAAAATTATTTTATTATGATTATCCCATATCATTAAAGAGTCTTCACACCTTGGCTAAAAGCAAGCTAATATGTGCTATACAATGTAAATTTAAAGTCTGTTTTCTTGTTTTTATAGATTTTGTTTTGCTTAAAAATTTTGGTAAAATATCTCATAGTTTTATCTGATTGTTGTTAATGTTAGTAATTACATTTTTAAAGTTTTCTTCATATATACATATATTTTCCACATTCATATTATTATATTTATCTTGCTTGTCATTGTCATTGTAGCTTAGTAACTTTATTATTTTTGTGAAAGTCACACTTGTATGCCTCTTATTATAGATGCTAATTACTGCTCCAAAATCGCCTTCTAACTTACAGAATAATTTATTAGGTCAAATATTGATACTTTTTCTAATATAAATGCAGAGCTTAGAATAGAAATAGATATAAATATACATGTACCTACAGAACTAATACAATATGCACATATGTATAAATTTATATACACTTCTGTATACATGTATATAAAGGGTTATTTAATAAAATAAAGAAAAATCCTCAGGTCATACCAATAATTTTTAATCTTCATATAAATCTCTCTTAATGATTAATCCCTTCAACAACTTCAATCAAAATATCTATTAAGAATTTTTATTTTGCAGTCATGTGCCACATAACAACTTTTCAATCAATGAAGAAATACATATATTATTTTGGTCCCATAAGATTATAATGCAGCTGAAAAATTTCTGTTACCTAGTGATGTTGTAGAGATTATAATGTATTAGAACAACACATTGCCCTTCTATGTTTAGATATACAAATTCTTACCATTGTGTTACAATTCCCTGCAGTATTCAGTACAGTAACATGTACTAGTTTGTAGCCTAGGAGCAATAGGTTATATCATATAGCATAAGTGTGTTTTAGGCCATACCATCTAGGTTTGTGTAAGTATACCTTATGATGCTTGCACAAGGACAAAATCACCTAATGATGCATGTCTCAGATGGCATTCTCATCATTAAATAATGCATGACTCTATATACAAAGTATGAATATATACATACAGGTTTATCATGTTCATATATTTATCTTTAAATATTTATTTTTAGTTTTCTTTGTTTTGAATGTCAATATACACTTCAATCTGATTTTCTGGATATAAGTCTAAGAAAGCTTTGCCACTTCCTTTCTGTCTGAACGTGCAGTGCCTCAGTTTCCTCAAGAAATGATAGTAATAATAGCACATATGATACAAGGTCATTGTGATAATTAAATTAGTTGGTATATGCAAATTATTTAGAACAGTATTTGAACTATAGTAAGCATTATTTAAACTAGTAGTTAGCAATTACTATCACCATTGTTATTATATTTGTATTACTTTTTTTTAAATAATAATTTATTTGTTTTGGAGTTAGTTGGCGATTGTTATATTTTGAATATTTATACTAAAGTTGGTAAGTAAAATGGACCTGTAATTTATCCTAGATTTTTGGCATTTTACATGTATACATATAGACACACACATTAATGGTTTATATCAGCCTCAAATAACTGCAGAACAATTTTATTTATCAAAAAACTGTACATATTTGGCACTTTGTATTTCTTGAAAATTTGGTAAGTATCACAAAATAGGATAAAATATTTTCTTTTTAAAAGATTTGTATCTAGCAAATTAATTTGAATCATAAATGTAGGATTATTCACACTTTTCTGTGGCAGCATAGGTAAAGTGTATCTTTCTATGAATGTTTTTATTCACCTAAATTTTTACATGCATTGATAAAATGTTTTTACACATCATTGTTTTATGAGTTTTACTTCCAGTATAATTAGTTCCTGTATTTTGCTTTTGTTTTCCCCAGAAAATAGCTTATTAATATTTTTTAATATGATCATTTTTTGCCTTTAGGAATTAACTTTATATTTGTTTATTGATTAATATGTTAGTCTTTCTTAATATTTGTCTTCTATATTATTTGGATAAATATTTATAATTCTAAAACACTTATGTAAAATATTTAGTTTTATAATTTTCAATATTCCCTATCTTCTAATATAAGCATTTAATGTTATAGTTTGTGTATTGCTTTAGATGTTTCCCATAAATTTGGAATTTGTGGGATTTGGATTTTGGATTTTGGGGTACATGTACAGGTTTGTTAAATGGGTATACTATACCTTGGTAGTGAGTATAATAACCAACAGGTAGTTTTTTGACCAATTTCCCACCCCTCCCATATCCAGTAGTCTGCAGTGGCTATTATTCCCATGTTTACGTCCCTGAGTGCTCGATGTTTGGCCCTACTTATAAGTGAGAACATGGGTTATTTGGGTTTCTGTTTATACATCAATTTGCTTAGGATTATGACCTCCAACCCCATTCATGTTGCTGCAAAGGACATGATTTTGTTGTTATTTATATGGCTGTGTGGTATTCTATGGTATATTTATATACCACATTTTCTTCATCCGATCTACCACTGATGGGCACCTATGTTAAATCCATGGTCTTTGCTATTGTAAATAACACAGCAATGAACATGTGAGTACATGTGTCTTTTTGGTATAATAATTTATTTTCATTTGGATATGTAATGGGATACCAGTAATGAGACTGCTGGGTTGAGTAGTAGTTCTTCTTTTTTATTATTTATTTATTTATTTATTTATTTTGAGATGGAGTCTCACTCCTGTTGCCCAGGCTGGAGCGATCTCAGCTAACTACAACCTCCACCTCACAGATTTAAGTGATTCTCCTGCCCCAGGCTCCCGAGTAGCTAGGATTACAGGTGCCTGCCACCACGCCTGGCTAATTTTTTGTATTTTTAGTGGCGATGGGGTTTCCCCATGTTGGTCAGGCTGGTCTCGAACTCCTGACCTCAGGTGATCCACCCACCTCGGCCTCCCACAGTGCTGGGATTACAGGCGTAAGCCACCACACCCACCAGTTCTGTTTTAAATTATTTGAGACATCTACAAACTGCTTTCCACAGTGACTGAACAAATGTATATTCCCACCAACATTATATAAGAGTTCCCTTTTCTCAGCAGCTTCACCAGCATCTGCTAATTTTGTTTTTTGACTTTTTAATAATAGTCATTCTATATACAAAAATTAACTCAAGATGGATTAACGTTTTAAATATAAGACATCAAACTACAAAACTTCTAGAAGAAAACCTAGGAACTAGCCTTCTCAACATTGGCCTTGGCAAATAGCTTTTGACTAAGTCCCCAAAAGCATTTGCTACAAAACGAATATTGATAAGTGGGACCTAAATAAACTAAAGAGTTTTTGCATAGCAAAAGAAACTACCAATGGAGTAAACAGTCAGTCTATAGAATGAGAAAAATTATTCACAAACTAGGCGTCCAACACGGACCTATATTCAGGAACTTAAATTATCATGCAAAAAGCAAATAACACCATCAAAAAATGAGCAAGGTACATGAACAGACACTTCTCAAAAGACATGCAAGCAACCAACAAACATGAAAAAATGCTCATCATTACTAATCATCAGAGAAATGCAAATCAAGAACACAATGAGGCAAATTCTGTTTTCATTTATTTGTCTTGTTCTAATTTTTTCTTATACTGGCTTAAGATACAATAAATATTATATTTCCATTTTTCCCAATAGTTAACTTTCAAATTATACCTTTTACTTTTAACAAGTTTGTATAAATTTATGGGGTAGAAGTGCAATGAAGTCTAAAGTAAATTAGATTTCTTACACTGTCTCTCTGAAAACACAAAAGGTTGGCTTGGTGCAGTGGCTCACACCTGTAATCCCAGCACTTTGGGAGGCCGAGGTGGGCAGATCACTTGAGGTCAGGAGTTTGAGACAAGCCTGGCCAACATATCGAAACCCTGTCTCTACTGAAAATACACAAATTAGCCAGGTGTGGTGGTGCATGCCTATAAGCCCAGCCACTCGAGAGCCTGAGACACGAGAATCCCTTGAACCCAGGAGATGGAGGCTGCAGTGAGCCAAGATAGCACCACTGCACTCCAGCCTGGGTGACAGAGCGAGACGCTGTTTAAAAAAAAAAAAAAAGATTTAAAACTTGTGGTCTCCCATCACTTATCTATTCACATAACATGTCCATTTTGTTCTGCATTCTAGGCATTTTTAATCATATAAATTAATTATAATTCTATTATTTATGATTTTACACAAACCAATTTTTGATCTTTTCTACTAGGATCACAAATTTCCTTGTGTATTCTTCCATCTTGTTGATGAGTTAGTTAGTTTGGTATTGTTTTCATTATAAAGAACAGCCTTCAGAAATTTCTCAAGTAAAAGTCTACTTTTTAAATAGATATCAATTTTAGCTATAGTAATATTGATTATTTTCTGTTTTCCATCTGATCTGTCCCCTTCTACCTTGATTCTGTTAAGACATATATGAATTCTGATTATTCCAATCTCCATGTCTCTTAAAATATTTTTCATATCTCTAGTTTTTAATGTTTTGTTTGCAATTTGTTATAATTTATTAATGTCTTCCATGTAATTGACTTTTATTTCAGCTATAATTTTAATGTACGCAGCAGTTATAAATTCAGCAATGTACATATGTTATATGTAACCTCTAAATATTTTAAAAATTTACTTTGGAATTACATTTTGGTTTTCTGTAACTATTTCATACATAGCTAACATATTCAGGATATGATTTACATGAATACTTCAAATTATAGGTTTCTAAATTTTGTATCTGATAACTGGGGAAGATTTTATATGTACCTCATATATGTTAATTGCCAAATAGATTCACTTGAAACTTGATTACAGGTTTTATTAATCACTAATATTTAGTAATGCCTAAGAAATGATACAAGGTAGAAATTGCAATGTATACTGCATCAACAAATCCCGATATCACCAGGATTGGCCTGAGTCCTTGGTTGCATGCAACACTGAAAGTATTTCTAAAAAGATATTTATTTTAAGCCTGGGCACGATGGCTCATGCCTGTAATCCCAGCACTTTGGGAGGCCAAGGCGGGCAGATCACGAAGTCAGATCAAGACCATCCTGGCCAACTTGGTGAAACCCCGTCTTTACTAAAAATACAAAAATTAGCCAGGCGTGGTGGTGCATGCCTGTAGTCCCAGCTGCTCGGGAGGCTGACCCAGGAGAGTTGCTTGAACCCAGGAGGTGGGGGCTGCAGTGAGCCAAGATCACGCCACTGCACTCCAGCCTGAGTGACTCCAGCCTGTGTTACAGAGCGAGACTCTGTCTCTCTCTCTCTCTCTCTGTCTATATATATATAAAATATATATATGAAAAAACATTAAACTCTTAGTTCAGGAAAGCATATAAGCCTGAATAATAGGCAGAGTGAAAAATAAGACTATAATTATGTTTTATGTTTTATCAAGTTTAGCTATGATGTTACAGAAGCTGCAGGATCCTGTCAACACCATTGAACATCACTGCTGCATTTTAAAGAGATTTTAAAATACAAATTCTATTGCAGAAGCAGCTAACAGATTTCATTAATTCTGGAATCACAGTTATAATATGCTTACTATGTACCAGGTTCTCTGCTAAATCCTTTTACCCATATCATCTTATTTAATTAACACAAGAACTTTGAAATAACTAATATTATTATTTTTATTAGATAAGAAAATTGTGGCTCATAGGTTTTTAAAAAGTAAAAGGTCATACTTCTAATAAAAGCAGAATTCAGATTATGTTCCTAGATACGTCTGATTCTTTCAACTGTGACTGGTAAATATTTCTCTATTTTACTCTCCTATTTGTAAAAAGTAATGTTCCATCAAGGCAGTTCTGTTCAAAATAAGTAGTGGTATTCTGACTTCCTCAATGTAAGAAACAGTTAGAGGCCAAGTACTACTGCCTGAACACCATGGGATAATTCTTTGGTTCTTGAAAATTCCTTTATTATACTCTCTTGTCTCATCCAAAGACCTTGGAGTTTTATGCCACATTAATTCTCTGATACTGGCAAAATATTCTTCTGTTACCAAGATACTGTGATTATTTGGAACTCATCATAGTTCTCCTTAATGGGACAAACTCAAGGATTAGTACTCTGTGTTCTGGAATGGTAAACTGCTTGGAATTTTTTAAAGTTAAGAGGAAAGAGAAGATTTTCGTTTAAAAGGGGGTGAAGTTAAAGACAGAATTATTTCTAGAAAGAGATAGAAATATGCTCTGACTGGATGGAGACTAAGTTTGTTAAGAGGGAAATGTCTCTAAAAGCCTCAGAAGACTGGGAGTAGGAGGAAAAAATAAACTCAAATAATATGCACAAACTTTACGTCTTTACTAGGAAGCACAATGTATTATTGTTGAAAATAGCAAAAACCTAGAAACAAATATCCTTCAATTAATAATTACCTAAATCAGTGGTTCTCAGCTAGGGATAATTCTGTCCCCCTAAAAGCATTTGTCAGTGTTTGGAAGTATATTGGCTGTCACAACTCAGTGCAGACTGCATCAGTCATTTAATAGGCAGAGTCAAGAATGCTGCTGAGCATCCTATAACACACAGTGCATCCCCCACAACAGAAAATTATCCAGCCCAATATGTCAACACTGCCAAGGAGAAAAACCCCTTAGTTAAATCACTTGAAATATATGCATATTATAAAACATTATAGAGCTATTAACAAGAAGAGTACATGTCCATATACATATTATCATAGAAAGGTCATCAAGGCGGATGGGCGCGGTGGCTCATGCCTGTAATCCTAGCATTTTGGGAGGCAAAGGAGGGCGGATTGCCTGAGCTTAGGAGTTCGAGACCAGCATGGGCAACATGGTGAAACCCCGTCTCTATTAAAATAAAAAATAAAAACAAAAATAAAATAAAATAAAAAAATTAGCCAGGCGTGGCAGCATGCGCCTGTTGTCCCAGCTACTCGAGAAGCTGAGGCAGAAGAATTGCTTGACCTGGGAGGTGGAGACTGCAGTGAGCCAAGATAGTGCCACTGCACTCCAGCCTGGTGACAGAGCAAGACTCCGTGTCAAAAAACAAAACAAATCAAGAAAGGTCACCAAGGCAATGATATATTTGAAAAATTAAATAAAAAACAAATGCAAATATTTAATATTTTTTATTCGTTTAAGCAATAAAAGCAAAAAAAGTATGCTTAGGTAAATACATAAAGATAGCAACAATGATATTGAGCATTCACTAATTTCCCATCATTGTCCTAAGTGTTTTAAATGCACTCATGTATTTAATCCTCACAATGATTGTAACATCTAGGTACTATTGTTATCAACACCTTACATGTTAGAAAAAAGACACAAAGAGCTAAGAAATTTGTTCAGTTATCACACAACTATTAAGAAAAAAGTCGGGTACACAAGTCCATGCAGTCTGGATCCAGGGAGTACATATTCGCTATCATTTCCAGTCATATTAATTTACAAGGCAAGAAAAAAAAGGATTGAAAATTAACACATTCAACAATTCAGAATGTGAAAACACATAGAAATGGACGTGCTTTCTTATGTTTTACTCTCTATAATTAGGAACTGCTAACATTATTCAAAAATACTTCATTGATGTAGCAGTGTTTTTAAAGAATAATCATGGTTGCCTATCAGATAATGAATCAACTATGCTAAATAAAGAAAGGAAGAGAGGAGATGGAGCAAGATGGCAGAACAGAAGGCCCCATCCATTATCCCCCCTGAAGGAACACCAAATTTAACAACTATCTACACAAGATAAGCACCTTCATTAAAAAAAAAACAAAAATAAGGGGAGCACTTGCAGTACCTGGTTTTAACTTCGTGTTACTAAAAGAGGTACTGAATAGGGTACGAAAACTTAAATTGCCAGTGCCACCCTCCCCCATTCCCGTGCAGTGGCTGCATGGCATGGAGAAATCTGTGCCGTTGGAAGAGAGCAGCAATTGTGAAACTGCATTGAGCTCAGTGCTGCTTTGTCACAAAGCAAAACTTCATTGAACTCAGCTGATGCCAACCCATGGAGGAAGCATCCGAACTGGACCTACCCAGAGGGGTATCACCCATCCCAGTAGTGGAATCTTGAGTTCTGGCAAGCCTCACCACCTGGGCTGATGTGTTCTGAGGCCCTAAATAAACTTGAAAGGCAATCTAGGACACGAGGACTTTAAGACCCAATGCTGAGCTGGGCTATGAGCCAGTGGACTTCAGGGGAATGTGAAGTACTGAGACACCAGCCACAGCAGCTAAAGGAGTGCTTGCGTCACCCCTCTCCCAACCCCAGGCAGCACAGTGCATGGCTCCAAAAGATGCCCCTTCCTTCTTAGTGAGGAGATAAGAGAGAAGGGTAGAAAGGTCTTTTGTTTTGTATCTTAAACACCAACTCAGCCACAGTAGGAGAGGGCACAAGGAAGGATCATGAGGCCCCCATTCCAGGCCCCAGCTCCCAGATTAAATTTCTAAACACAGCCTGGGCCAGAAGTGAAGCTGCTGCCTTGAAGAGAAGGACCCAGTACTGGCAGGATCCAACACCTGCTGACTAAATTGTCCTTGGGCATTGAATAACTTATAATGACACCTAGACAGTACGTCATGGGCCTTGGGTGAGACTGAGACATAATGGCTTCTGGTAAAACCCAGCACATTTCCAGATGTAGTGGCTATGGGGAGAGACTCATTCTGCTTGAGAAAAGCAGAGGGAAGAGTAAAGGGGACTTTGTCTTGCACTGTAGGTACCAGCTTGGTCACAGTGGGGTTAAAAAACTAGCAAGCTCTTGGGATCCCTGATTCCAGTTCTTGTCTCCTAAATGGCAATTCTGGACATGCAGTGGGCAAGAGTGGAGGACACTGCTGTGAGGGGTGAGTTCCAAGTCTCGCAGCATTCACCACAAGCTGACTAAAGAGCCCTTGGGCCTGAAGTGAACATCGGTGGTAGCTCGGCATGGCTCTTTGTGGGCCTAGGATGGTGGTGACCATGGAATGAAGCTCCTCTGCCTATGAAAAGGGGAGGGAAGAATGGTAAGAATTGTGTCTCATGGTTTGAGAGTCAGCTCAGCCATAGAAGAATAGAACACTAAGTAGACATCCAAGATCTTTGACTCCAGTCCCTAGCTCCCAGGTGGCATCTTCAGACTTGCCCAGGGCCTGGGGGAGCTGGACACCCTAATGGAAGGACACAAGTCTGGCTGGCTTCACCACTTGCAGATTGTAGAGCCCTACGACCTTGAGGAAACACAGGCGATAGCCAAGTAGTGCTTATAGCTGGCCTTGGGGGAAACTCATTGCTGTGCTGATTTCAGATCTGACCCAGCTCAGTCCCTGTGGTGGTGGCCCCAGGGGAGCTTGTGTCACCCTAGCCTCAGCCCCAGGTGGTTCAGAACACAGAGAAAAACTCCATTTGTTTGGAAGAAAGTAAGGGAAGAGAACATGAATTTCTGCCTAGTAATCCATGGAATTCTTCCAGACTTAAGCAAGACCATTAAGGCAGTACCTCCATGAGTCTGCAAGACTCGTGGGCTTGGATTGCCCACTGATGCAGGTACAGCTTAGATCACAACACCCAAGTCCTTTCAAATACCTGAAATTCCTTGACGGAGAACATCTAAGAATTATTGGCCATAGAGAGGAGGTAGAGAAAGAGATAGGGGTAGAAAATTTATTCAAAGAGATAATATCAGAGAACTTCCCAAACCTAGAGAAAGATATCAGCATTCAAGTACAAGACGGTTATAGAATATCAAGACACTTTAACACAAAGAAGCCTACCTCAAGGCACTTTAATAAGCAAACTCCCAAAGATCAAAGATAAAGAAAGGATCCTACAAGCAGAAAGAGAAAAGAAAAAACACCATCCAATAAAGTTCCATTATGTCTGGGTGCAGACTTTTCAGTGGAATTTTTACAGTCCAGAAGAGAGTGTCATGACATAATAAAAGTGTGAAGGAAAAAACCTTTTTACCTTAGAATAGTATATTTGGCAAACATATCCTTCAAACATGAATGAGTAATAAAGGCTTTTCCAGAAAAACAAAAGCTGTCATCAACACCAGACCTCTCCTACAAGGAATGCTAAATGGAGTACTTCAATCAAAAATAAATGATCATTACTGAGCAATATGACATCATCTGAAGGTAGAAAACTCACTGGCAATAGTAAGTACCCGGAAAAACACAGAATATTATAATGCTGTAACTGCAGTGTATAAACTACACTTATGTTAAGTAGAAAGGCTGAAAGGTGAACAAATCATAAAGAATAACTACAACTTTTCAAGCCATAGACAGTACATTACAATATAAATAGAAACAATAAAAAGTTTAAAAAACTGGGAGATGAAGTTAATGTGTCAAGCTTTTACTAGTTTTCTTTTTGCTTGTTTGCTTGTTTATGCAAGTGGTGTTGGTATCGCCTTAAAATAAAGGGTTATAAAATAGTATTTGCAAGCTTCATGGT
This sequence comes from Homo sapiens, assembly GCF_000001405.40. Lineage (NCBI taxonomy): Eukaryota > Metazoa > Chordata > Mammalia > Primates > Hominidae > Homo > Homo sapiens. Next base: position 102,667,181 of record NC_000009.12, on the reverse strand, counting down.
AACCTCAAATCAAAAAACATACAATGGATACACACACACACAAAGCAATAAATTGTTATACCACCATTAAAAAGCACACAAAACTTCACTAATAGGAAGAAAACAAAGAAGAAAAGAAGGAAGAGAAGACCTCAAAACAACCAGACAACAAATAACAAAATGGTAGAAATAAATCCTTATTTATCAATAATAAGTTTGAATGTAAATGGACTAAACTCCGATCAAAATACATGGAGTAGCTGAATAAAGAAAACAAGACCCAATGATTTGTTTCCTACATGAAACACACTTTACCTATAAAGACACATATAGACTGAAAATAAAGCCATGGAAAAAGATATTCTATGCCAATGGAAACCAAAAAAGACAAGGAGTGGCTATACTTACATCAGTCAAACTGTATTTCAAAACAAAAAATATAAAAAGAGACAGAGAAGGTCATTACATGATGAACAAAGTGTCAATTCAACAAGAGACTATAACAATTTTATGTATATGCACCCAACACTGGGGTACCCAGATATATAAAGCAAATATTATTAAAGCTAAAGAAAGAGATAGCCCCCAATACAATAATAACTTGATACTTCAACACTCCACTTTCAGCATTGATCTTCCAGAGAGAAAATCAATAAAGAAACATCAGACTTAATTTGCACTATAGACCAAATGGAACTAATAGATATTTACAGAATGTTTCATCCATGGCTGCTGAATATACATTCTTTTCCTTAGCACATGAAGAACTCTCAAGGACAGACCTTATGTTAGGCCACTAAACAAGTCTTAAAACATTCAAAAATAAAATAATATCGAGCATCTTCTCTGACCACTATAAAACCGGAAATCAATAACAAGAGGAATTTTGGAAACTATACAAACATATGGAATTTAACAATAGGCTCGTGAATGACCAGTGGGTAAATGAAGATATTCAAAAGGAAATTGAACTATATCTTGAAACAATTGATAATGGAAAGGCAACATATCAAAACCTATGGAATACAGTGAAAGCAGTACTAACAGGCAAGTGTATAGCTACTTGTGCCTGCATCAAAAAAAGAGAAAAAGAACTTTAAACAGGCACCTTAATATACATCTTAAAGAACTAGAAAAGTAAGAACAAACAAAATCAAAAAATAATAGAAGAAAAGAATACAGATCAGGACAGATATAAATGAAATGAAAACATATAAAACAATACAAAAGATCAATGAAAGGAAATGTTTTTTGAAAAGATAACAAAATTGGCATACCTTTAGAAAGACTAACTTCGAAACGAGAGAAATCCCAAATAAATAAGATCATAGATAAAAAAGGAGACATTATAACCAATACTGCACAAATTCAAAGAATCACTAGGGACTGCTATGAAAGACTTTATGCTAACAAACTGGAAAATCTAGAAGAAATAGACAAATTATTAGACATATACAACCTACTAAGATTGAACCATGAAGAAATCCAAAACCTGAACACACCAACAAGTATTGAGATTGAAGCCATAATAAAAAGACTCCCAAATGAAAAGCTGGGTACCTGATTTCTTCAGTGCTGAATTCTACCAAACATGTAAAGAAGAATTATTACCAATCCTACTCAAACTATTCCTTAAAATAGAGGAGGAAGGAATACTTCCAAACTCATTCTACAAGGCCAGCATTATCCTGATACCAAATTCAGACAAAGACTCATCAAAAAAAGAAATCTACAGGCCAATATCTCTGTTGGATATTGAGGCAAAAATCCTCAACAAAATGCTATCAAACCAAAGTCAACAACACATTAAAAGGAGCAATCATCATGACCACGTGGGATTTATCTCACTGATGCAAGGATGGTCCAATATATGCAAATTAATCAATGTGATACATGATGTCAACAGAATCAAGGACAAAAACCATATAATCATTTCAATCGATGCTGACAAAGCATTGATAAAATACAACATCCCTTCTTGATAGAAAACTGGGTGTAGAAGGAACATACCTCTAACATAATAAAAGCTATATACAACAGACCCACAGCTAGCATCATACTGAATGGGGAAAAACTCAAAGGCTTTTCTCTAAGATCTGAAACAGGACAAGGATGTCCACTTTCACCACTGTTATTCAACATTATACTGGAAGTCGTAGCTAAAGCAATCAGAGAAGTGAAGGAAATAAAGGGCATCCAAATTGGAATGAAAGAAGTCAAATTATCCTTGTTTGCAGATGATACAAACTTAAATTTGGAAAAACCTTTCAGAACTGATAAACAAATTCAGTAAAGTTGCAAGATACAAAATCAACATACAAAAATCGGTAGCATTTCTGTGTGCTAACAGTGAACAATCTGAATAAAAAGATCAAGAAAGTAATCTCATTTATAATAACTACAAATAAAATACCTAGAAATTAACCTAAGATGTGAAATATTTCTGCAATGAAAACTGTAAACCAGTGATGCAAGGAGTTGAGGAGGACGCAAAAAATGCCAAGATATTCTCTTTTCATGGATTTGAAGAATCAATATTTTTTAAAAGTTCATAATACCTAGAGCAAACTACAGATTCAATGTAATCCCTGTCTAAATACCAATGACATTCTTCACAGAAATAGAAAAAAAAAAAAATTCTAAAATGCATGTGGTACCACAGAAGACCCAGAATAGCCAATGCCATTATAAGCAAAAAGAACAAACCTGGAAGAATCACATTAGCTGACTTCCAGTTACACTACAGACTATAGTAACCAAAAGAGCATGGTACTGGCATAAAAACAGTCACATACACCAGTGGAACAGCATATAGAACCAATAAATAAATCCATATGCCTACAGTGAACTATTTTATGACCGTATTGCCAAGAACATACATTGGAGAAAGTACAGTTTATCCAGTAAATTGTCCTGGGAAAACTGGATATCCATATACAGAGGAATGAAACCAGACTCCTATCTCTCACCATTTACAAAAATCAAATAAAAATGGATTAAAACATAAATCTAAGACCTCAACCTATGAAACCAGTAAAAGAAAGCATTGGAGAAACTCTCTGGGACATTGGACTGGACAAAGATTTATTGAGTAATACCCTACAAGCACAGGCAACCAAAGCAAGCATGGACAAATGAAATCACATCAAGCTAAAAAGCTTCTGTACAGCAAAAGAAGCAGTTGACAAAGTAGAGACAACCACAGAATAAGAGAAAGTATTTGCAAACTACCTGTCTGACAAGGGATTAATAACCAGAATATATAAGAAGCTCAAATAACCCTATAGGAAAAAATCTAATAATTTGATTTTAACATGAGCAAAAGATCTGAATAGACATATCCTAAAAGAAGAAATACAAATGGCAAACAGTTAAAATGGTTTTTATCCAAAAGACAGGCAATAACAAAAGCTCACGAGGATGTGGAGAAAAAGTAATCCTCGTTCATAGTTGGTGGTAAGGCAATTAGCACAACCACTATGGAGAAGAGTTTGGAGTTTTCTCAAAAAACTAACAATAGAACTATCATGTGATCTAGCAATCCCATTCCTAGGTATGTTCCCCAAAGAAAGGAAATCAGCATACTGAAGAGCTATCTGCACTCCCATGTTAATTGCAGCACTATTCACAATAGGCAAGATTTGGAAGCAACCTATGTGTCCATCAACAGATGAATGGATAAAGGAAATGCGGTACATATACACAATGCAGTAGTTTCTCCATAAAAAAAAAAAAAGAGATCCTGCCATTTGCAATAGCATGGATAGAACTGGAGGTTGTCATGTTAAGTGAAATAAGCCAGATACAGAAGACAAACCTCGTATATTCTCACTTACATGTGGTATCTAAAAATCAAAACAATTGAACTCATGAAGATAGTAGAAGGATGGTTACCAGATGCTGAGAAAGGTAGTGGGTGGGAGGGTGAAGGAGAAGTAGGGTGATTAATGGGTACAGAAGATTGTTAGAAAGAATGAATAATACTGAATTTTTGCTAGCAAGACAGGACGACTATAGAAATCATTTAAATGTACACTTTAAGATAACTTAAAGAGTTTACTGAATTGTTTGTAACAAAAAGGATAAATGCTTGAGGTGATGGTTACACCATTTACCCTGATGTGACTATTAAATATTGCATGCCTGTATCAAAATATCTCACATACTTCATAAATATATACACCTAATATGTACCCACAAATTTTTTAAATAAAAAAAAGCATTTACTTTCACTAGCTGAGAAAAATGACAGAGAAAGAGATTGAATTTGAAAGGCCAGAAAGTTCTTTCACAAGCCCGTGAAACCATAGCAAAATAAAAGAAAAGAGAGAGGGAGAAAAAAATGGTGAAATATGTGAAATACTTCTGTTAAAATAATGCTGATAACCAATAGCTATATAGAATAACTGTTAAACAGCACTAAAAGATGTTATTTAGTAGAAAAAAAATTTCCTAAAATTTTACATTTGATGTTTTGATCTGAAAAACTCATTAGAAGTATCCTTTGTATATCACTTTTAGCCTTCATATATCACTTTTTTCTTGCTACTTACTGTCATGCCATTCTATTTTCAGTGTAAGAGGGAAAATGAGTTACCTAAGTTTACTCACGATAGGTTCAAGTTGGTATAGTTCATATTTATTTTATTTCTTATTTCCACATATTTTTTTGTGTTGGCCATCTGACTAGACCTTCATTACTAAGTGCAGGATTTCTAAATATATTAATTAACATTTAAGTTGTTAACCCAAAAACTTTTTCGATTACATGGAATATAATTTATGATTAGAAAATATGAAAGAAACCTACAATATCCCCGCTTTGTCACATAAGTAATTTGAAAAGTATGCATAGATAGACATATAAGGTGTATTAACAACCACCCAAATTTATTTCACATTATAGTACTGCATGTAATTATATGTGTTTTGAGAAATTAAGACTTGATTTTATCATGTAGATATTTAGCAATTTTTGCAGAAGATCGGAGGGTATGTTGCAGATGGAGAGAGTTCCTTTTGTCTAGTTAGCGGCATGTAACTTTATAGAAGACAGTAATACTAGCCTAATAACTTATTGTTAACCTTTACAGTGACATTCAGATAACAAAAATGGCTCAATTTCTTTGCTACTTGCATTCCTATTGCTATATTTCTCCAGACATTTGAGAGCCTATTGGGTTCTTATCTCAATGCAGGAAAACATCTTATGGCTTATGAAAAATGTGTGTTTTTGATAAGATTCTTGGTTTTCTCCATTAACTTGTTGCTATCATTCATGTTTAATATAAGATTCTTGACCCTATAATGCTAGAGATATTGTGAATAACTTATTAAACTATGCATAGTTGGTAGCGAATTTTTGTTTTCTTTTGATGTTCTTTATTCTTTCTATTTTCAATTATGAGGATATATTTCTTTAATAATAAAAGAAATTAGAATAATATTTTAACATAAAATGGGTTAAGAATATAACTACACAATGATAATGGAAAGAACACATGATTTGGAAATAAAGACAATGAATTTTAAAGTTACTACTTATCATTATTATTCCATTTGGTAAGCAAGTGGCCTACAAGAAATGTAATTATTAGGAGGTAGATAATTAATCATGAGTGATAGAGTAAATAACATCCCATAATAATCTAAAGTTATATCTTATAAACAGAAAATTGAAACATATAATTTCAACTGCTAAATAAATGTATCCAATTACATACTTGGAGACTGAGCAAAACAAAATAGTGTGAGGCTGTGTACTTGCTCAAACAATTATGAGGTGAATTTTGGCCAACATTATTTTACTGCCTCCTTTCATTCCTGTCATCTATATGCCTTATTCTAATGTGAACAACATGAGTCTTTACATCATTTGACTCAGGTGTCAGTGCAGAGATCATATCCAACAGTCCTCAAAATGTCTGGATATTCCTCTTTCATTGGTTATAGAAAATATAAAAATATATAATTTATATACTTTTCAAAAATTATATAAAATATGTGTCATTTGTATTCTTTTGATGTTCTTTATTCTTCCCATTTTCATTCATGTAAACCTCTTTTCAAAAGAAGGTTATATAGAAAATAACCTCTTTCCCTTTTGGAAAAAAAAAAATCAGGAAATTTCTTTTTTTTTTTTTTTTTTTTTGAGATGGAGTTTCACTCCTAACCCCCAGGCTGAGTGCAATGGTGTGATTTTGGCTCACTGCAACCTCCACCTCCCAGGTTCAAGTGATTCTCCTGTCTCAGCCTCCCAAATAGCTGGGATTACAGGTGCATGCCACCACGCCCAGCTAATTTTTATATTTTTAGTAGTGATGGGGTTTCACCATCTTGGCCAGGCTGGTCTTGAACTCCTAACTGCAGGTGATCCATCCGCCTTGGCCTCCCAAAGTGCTCAGATTATAGGTGTGAGCAACCATGCCTGGCCACTACAATACTTTAGGTTTGTACATTATAATCCTCAGAAGTGGCCTGAAGTAAGGTTTTGTTATGTTAGCATTTTCAGCAAGATATGTAGGAAGTCAAAAGTCATTGGCTGACTCCTACCTAACAAGCCCAGTTCTAGGGCAGCTTCTTCTACCATCAATATTGGCCTATGGAGGAAAGCCACTATTGATCTTTTCAAAGGTTTATATCATCTTCACCAGTACATTAGTTATTACCTTAATTAAACCAATTTTCTCTGAGCCATCTGCAAAACATAATCAGGTGGTGTATTCTCAAATTCCATTTAATTTACTAAAGGCATATGGAAGTTCTAAGGACCCATTACGACAACCTATTAGATTAGACTCTCTTTTCAAAAAGAGTTGAGTTTTCCATATTCGGTCTTTTGTCCTCACCAGCAAAACTCTCAAGATCCACTTTCATACTTGTTCCACTGGTTCCTACAATTTATTTGGTACTTAATTAGGCTGTGCATAGAGCTGTCCTTCATAAGCAGCCTAGAAGTATGAGGGTAGTGAGAGCAGATCTTAAGGAAAATCAGCTTTACATGGTGAGGGGCCTACCTCAGGTGAGCTCACAGCATGGTCTCCAGAAAAGAGTGGCTGGTCTTCTCCGGAAAGTGGAAAGTCATTGCTTCTTTCATTCTGGAGATTTAATAGTGAAATCTGGAGGATAAACGTTCTCAGGTTTACCCATTCAAATGTCACCATTCTGTTGCTCAGGTCTCGACAATTATTCATCATTGAGTGTTGTTTTAGACATAATATCAAAATTAGAAACTGGTCCTAAATTTCCGGCCAGGTTTCTCCGTGTTTTGCATTGGTAGTTGGCTTTCCTGACTATATTATATTTTTCAAGGTTCTTAACAGGCTTAAAAGAATTAAGACTATCCTAACCTGGCAAGTATTATTTCCTCAGTACCATGTAACATTATCACCACTGTATTTCTCTTTTTTTAACTTTTAACTTTTGTGGGTACATAGTAGGTGTACATATTTATGAGGTACATGAGATATTTTCGTACAGGCGTGCAAAGTGAAATAAGCACACCATGGAGAATGGGGGTATTTTTCCCTTCAAACGTTTATCATTTGAGTTACAAACAAACCAATTATACTCTTTAAGTTATTTAAAAATGTACAATTAAGTTATTATTGACTACAGTCACCCTGTTATGCTATCAGATAGTAGGTCTTATCTATTCTTTCTAATTTTTTTACCCATTTATCATCCCCACCTCCCCCTTATCCCCCACTACCCTTCCTAGCCTCTGATAACCATCCTTCTACTGTCTACATACATGAGTTTAATTGTTTTGATTTTTAGATCCTACATAAAACGAGAACATATGATGTTTGTCTTTCTGCACCTGGCTTATTTCACTTAGCATAACGTTCCATCTATAGTGCATTTCAATTAACCAAAGAAGACAACTTTAATAATTGGATACCACTGTATGACCTATGTTACTATCTACAACTTCCCACCAACAATGGGGTCCTTATGCCATCAGAACAATGGTTTAATACCAGAATCTCATCCTAATTATAGATGCATCTGTCTAAACCTCGCCATAGAAAGCCAAGTCTGACACAGAAGGTTTGTATATTATTACTTTATTAGGAGTATTATTCTAAGTAGTAGGGAAAAAGGACAAAGAGAATATAATGGGAAAATCAGGAGAGATGATGCAAGGTTTACATTACAGTTGACAGCTGAAATGTTCAACTGACTATTTAAAGTCATAGTATATCTTTCAAGAACTCATACAAACTAAATCAGAGAATAGCCCACTGTGGGAGAAGAGGGGAATAATTTTTTTCACTGATTTTAGTCTCTCATTGATCAAATAAACTCCTATGGAGCTTTAACTCCCCCTCATTTTTGGTTGTGCCTGGATGACTTTTAGGCAGAGAGCTGTGGTGTCCTATCTAGCCATATAAAAAGGAAAGGCCTAGATAAGAATTGAGGTGCCCAGAACTGTCAGTTGGATAGAGAGGATCTCTAGGGTATACCAGCAAGTCATATGAGAGACGAGGATCCATTATCGTAGGTGCTTCAGTCTGAATACAGCAGATGCAGAGACAACATGGTCTCATGATTATAGAAAGAGTACAAACTATAATAAAGCCAAATATGAAGATCTGGGGACAAGGTGCAGGATTGAATCTAGTACAAAAGTATACGGTAATTCTTCATCATCCAAGATATTTCTAGATCACGTCATGATTTTTAGACTATTCCTATGTCCAGGTGGTCACTTTAGTCACATGGCCTTTGTAACAAAGTATCACTCTACAACAAAAAATCACCCAATGTCTATTACTATTCAATTGAAATTAGAGCACTCACTCATTTCAGCTGTAGCATTTCACATTGTGATTAAAGTAATTTTCAAAGATTCTGGTTGTCCACTCCAGCCTGGAGTTATTTCTTGTGACCTTGTGCATTTTAAGAAGGTATTGCATCAGCTTAACACACTAGCTGAATTCATTTAGTTTTAACTTCCAAAATATTTAAACTTCTCTTTCTATACTGTGGAAAGGAAATCTGAAGACTTCACATTTTTCAATGTGGGTCACCTTTGAGGAAACCTTTTGTTTACATATATACTATAAGAACTAAACAATCTACTAAATAGTTCAATATAAATTGAAATCTATAACTGGTGCAACTATAATAATTGTCCTCTAACATTGATAGAGAATTTTCATATCTTACATGCAACTGGATAATTGATATTATTTTTTAAATGAGGAAGACTTAGTTTTTTTTCTGTTTGTTCATTTGTTTATTTTCTTTGTGCTCTTTAGGATATACTTGGACCAGACTATTTATAATTGTGAAAACAGTGAAAGAAGTATAAGTGAAACAGTATTGTTTTTGCAACAAAATTCCCTGGGGCAAGAAAATAGCAACATTTTTAAGCAGGGAAGGAAGAGTCTCAATATACAAAAGTGAAGGGACTTCAGTGAACAAGGAAGGCTCAGTATTGGATAGGGCATGAGAAAACTCCAGTTGTTCAAATTCCAACAGTTAAGTTTCTTCACAATTTTCCTTACCTAGCTTTATCTGACTTTTGTTTATGGCAGCAGGTAAGGATTTTAATTCTTCCGAAATTACAATTTGGCAATACCTCTCTCAAAGTTAAAGGTTTGTTCTTAACTATCTCAGCCCTATAGTTAAAACATGTGAGGAAATCTTTACAGTGTGTTAATAGAAGTCAACATAGGTATTTGATCTGGTCATTTATTTTCTTTTTATTCAATATTAGAGATACCTACTTCCCCCACAATTTCTAAATTATTTATATCCTTCATATCCTTTACACAGATATATTAGAGTGTAAATGTGAGTGTTCAAAGCTATTTACTGCCTTCTTCCTTGGTGACTAAACCCATATTTCTCTTTTTTTCCTGGAGGAAAAATGATGTCTTTATTGCATCATTGGTATCGGTCTGAATCCTTGGTGATCTGCAACAGAAAGAAAAACTGAAAGCATTAAGCAAAAAATGAGAGATTTATTTAAAAGAATACTGAACACTTAATTAGTAATAGGATATTAATCTTAGTAAATCAATAGAGTGAAAATAAAAATAAAGTACAATTACGTTTTATTAATGAGAGTCTAGTATTCACAGTACACAAGCTGTAGGACCTTGTCAATAACTCTGAACATCACTGTTCTTACTACCATGAATAAATTCTAACCACCCCATCACTCATTCCATATCCAAAAATCCAGGTAAGAGCATTTGATTGGCCATGTCAAGTTCACATTCTTGAGCTCTGAATAGGAGGTAGCAAATCTAGAAACCCTAGTTTCTTTTAGCTGCCATACTGAAAACAGACATAGTTGTCTTCATTGAAATTTTCAAGATTTATATACAAGGGGGAATTCTCTAATAGTAGTAAAATGGCTTGTATGCTGCATTTTTAAAAAGCCAGTGTTTATTGACTTTGCTTTAGATAAATTAGCAAACAATAAAATATTAATTTGGGGTCTATATTATTATCAGAAAAATATGTTTGTAAATGAACACTTCAAAAATATGATACATGGAAAACTGCTCTACAAGGTTTAATTTCAACTCTAATATGCAGCTATTTTCATTATTTATTCTGAAAATAGCAGAAATCTTCAAAATGCAATCTATTGCAAGGCAGTGTAAAATACATGCTTATGGTTTCATACTTAGTTCACACAAAACCATGATTAGTTTATTAAAATAGCATAGGCTGGGCATGGCAGTTCATGCCTGTAATCCCAGCACTTTGGTAGGCCAAGGCAGGCAGATCATCTGAGGTCAGGAGTTCAAGACCAACCTGGCTAATATGGTGAAACCCTGTTTCTACTAAACATACAAAAAATTAGCTGGGCATGGTGGCGCAGTCCTGTAATCCCAGCTACTCGGGAGGCTGCGGCAGGAGAATCGCTTGAACCCCGGAGGCGGGGGTTACAGTCAGCCAAGACTGGCCATTGCACTACAGCTTGGGCAACAAGCGAAACTCCGTCTCAAAATAAATAAATAAAAATAAAATAAAATAGCATAAAACCATATTCCCCCCCAAAATTTTACCAACCAACCAAATATATGTATATTAAAAAAATGTGTTTATATATAATATATATTTATATGTACTACATATTTTTCTATATTATATATAATATTATATATTATGTTATATAGTATATATGTTATATATTGTTATATATAAAACAATATATTTGTTATGTCATATATATAGTCATATATTTTATATTACATATATTTATATATAATATACAATGCAACACATCAACATACATGTATCCATTTACGTTTTTTGTCGTTGTTCTAGAAAGCAGCCACATTGAAAATAGAATGAAATGCCTATTTTACACAAGCCACACATGACAAATGCATTTTGCTGTGGTATATTAAACAAATAGATTCTAAATAAAACTGTAGGGAGAATAAGGAGGAAGTTCAATATGTAAAATACCTGCAGAGCTATAAATTTTGAGAACAAAATAGTATTTTTAAAAATATAAATTGTTTTACACAATTAGCTGTTTATTTAAGGAATATTAAAAGTACACATTAATGTCAAGGAAAATTGAAAACAATTTCACTAATCAATGTTTAAAAGTTACTAGAATATCAAAGCATTTCTTCCCAGTGAAAGAAAATACGGCTTAGATGGAACATTCTGAGACTCTTCCTGCCCAATCTTCCTTTGCTCCTCTTTTCTCATCACAGAGCTCGGACATGCGTCAAAGGCTAAAGTTCTTCTTGCTTCCTCTTGCTTCCTCCCATTTGTCATTCACGAATGTTTTACCAATAAATCTCTTTTATATCCATTTCTATCCTGGTGTCTGCTTTTTGGAGGACTCAGACTGATAGATGGTGATATGTTTTAGCTCTGTTCCCACCCAAATCTCATCTTGAATTGTAGCTCCCATAATTACCATGTGTTGTAGGAGGGACCTGGTGAGAGATAATTGAATCATGGGGGCGGTTTCCCCCACACTGTTCTCGTGGTAGTGAATAAGTCTCATGAGATCTGATGGTTTTATAAGGGGAAACCCCTTTCGTTTGGCTCTCATTCTCCCTTCCCTGCCGCCATATAGGATGTGACTTGCTCCTCCTAGCCTTCTGCCACGATTGTGCAGCCTCCTGAGCCACGTGAAACCGTGAGTCCATTAAACCTGTTTTTCTTTGCGAATTACTCAGTCTCGGGTATGTCTTTATTAGCAATGTGAAAACGGAGTAATACAGATGGTATTTTAGAGATGATCTTTACCTTCCCAATAATCTCCATCATTTCTCTCAAACCATTCCAATAAAATAATGGAAATAAAAACAATATCCTCTTCCTATTAAGAAAGTAAATTCAAGTCAAATTTTCTAGTCCCGTTCTCCAATGATACCTCCTTTCCTAATTCCTTATACAATGAGATGTTGGAACTGTAATTGCACGTAGACCATTATGTTTTTGTATTTATATACTGCCTGTTTGAAAACAGCAATACTGTTTAGGGAGAATAGCTATACACTTTCAGGTGAACTTTGGTGCCACATCTGTTGAGCTGGGCTATGTACAGTGGGAGAGTTATGAAGAATCTTTCTACCTTCCCTCAAGGTGGTTTCTGTGTCAGAAGAACTTACAGCACTCATTCTGAAATTTCACGTTAGTTCTGTCATCTGTAAGAGGAGGTTTTCCCAGTGATTTCTAAGTTGTGTATTTCCCCATAATTGGTAGTCTAAGTATTTGTACCTCGATCTTTTAACAGTTGTTCCTAGTTACAAGATACCACCACCTGGAAATAATCTTGATATCTAAAACCCAAACATAATGGATTCTCAAATGTTGTTTTGTTCAATGTTGTTTTGTTATAATAGCAATTAAAAAAATATATCCCCCTCTGGCACCACTGTCTGTATGTGATTTGTGCATTCTGCCCACACCTGCGTGGGTTGTCACCAGGTACTCCCATTTCCTCCCACATCCCAAAAATATGCACATTAGGCTAATTGGTATGCCTAAATTGTCCCAGCTGTAGTGTGTATGTCGTGTGGGTGTATGTGTGAGTGCACCCTGCAATGGGATGGCGTCCTGTCCAGGGCTGGCTCTCACCTTTCACCCTGCATGCCCAAATAAGCCCCAGCCAGTGGTCACCCAGAACCAGAATAATTGGGTAAATAATAATTGTACTTGTTTTTATTAATCTTTCTTAAATGTATGTGGAGCTCACATTTCAATGTTTAATATTAGAAGTGTTTTGGTCTTTACATATAAGTCTGGCAGTGTTTTAGTGACCAGAAATATGTCATATAAACCTAGCTCTTGTTTATATCAACTAACCTATGACAAAATTCGTTTCATTATGTCTTTTTGCTAAAAGTCAGTTTCCAAGAACCTGTTGATGATGTTAAATGAGGACTGGCTGTATTCACACGGACTCCTGTCAGAGCGTTTGTATTTCTAACCAGTGAATCACCTGGAGTTCTGCTGGTGGTATTAGAATGGCAGACTTAATTAGGATTTCTGACATTTGGACTCTGGAATTGGAGTTTATGTAAAGTATCTTTAGAATACCAATGCACATCAAAACTTGAAGGCGCCTCATTCATACTCTTGACTTTTACTGGCAAAGAGGGTCAGCTGAATTTACTTAAATTCATGGAAATGATCCAATCAGTTTTTGAGTCTCGTTGCTCCTTACCAAAGTATATCCTATTTTTCCTCAAATAAAATCTCTGTTCTTTAATCATTTTTCTTTCCCTCCTTTTCCCCCTCACACTTTTTTTAGCCTACACTGTTTAATTATCATTCTTTTTTTCTACAATAGGTATCACTCAGTGCAGCCATACACACAAAAAAGTTATCTGCTTCAAAATGTCAATAGTCCTGAAGTTGAGAAACCCTAGTTGCCATATCTGTGTTCAATCTGTTAATGGCAGAACCTGAGCCACGTGGCACCAAAGTTAGGTTATCTGTGGCAAATCTTTACAAGTCTGCAACAACCTCAATTCTTGCCTCCTCAGAAGAAAGAATTTGACTGAGGGACATAAGGCAGAAGAAGAGCAGGAGTGAACGTTTATTAAAAAGCTTTAGAGCAGGAATGAAAGGAAGTAAAGTATACCTGTAAGAGGGCCAAGTGGGAGACTTGAGACATCAAGTGCATGGTTTGACCTTTTGACTTGGGGTTTTATTAATATATGTAGGCACACTTCTTGGGTCTTGTGTTCCTTCTCCCCTGATTCTTCTCTTGGTGTGGGCTGTCCACATGCCCAGTGGCTGCTAGTGCTTGCAGAGGTAATATGCGCACTGTGTTTAACTGGAATTGTACGCTTGCTCACTTGAGGAGTACTTCCCTTACCAGTTGAATGTCCCTAGGAAGTCATATACCAGTTAATTTCTGCTATTTTGCCTCTTAATGTGTATGCTTGAGCCCGTTTGCCCAACTCCTGAGATCTTATCAGAAAGCTGCTGATCACCAGTTTCAGATGTTTTCTATCTGTTGGGAGACCGCCGTTCCCTTGCACCAGCTGTGACCGATTATTATTTTAGAGAGACAGTTAACAACCGCCTGACCATCATCTGATGGTCACCTGACATTCCTGTTAGGAAGAGGCCTCTCCTGCCCAGCTCATGTCTGCAGCTACCCACTGTAACAAAACCACATGGAAAAATGAGGTATTTTCTTTAAATTAACTCTTTTAAATTGTTGCTATTGATAATTAATCAAAGTTTAGAAGTCAGATTATTTGGTAATTTATAAATTGACTACTATTCTAGAGCAAAGATTTATTTTGAGTGTTTCTCAAACATTTGAAATGAGTTTTACATCTTCACTGTGAGTCTAAGGATTTAAATAAATTTCTAAATTATTTGATTCTGAGTTGTCATTGGATAGATAATGATTCCAACCCTTCAGGGTTATTGTGAGAAGAATGTGTAATGTGCATAAGGCACCTAGCACACAGTATATGATCAATAGTCACTGTCATTGTATCTTTTTATTTTAATCACTGCCATTGTTAAATATAAATGCTATAAAAATTGTTAGCATCCCAGGTGAAAGATATCAGGTAGGCTAAGGTCCTGAGTTTCAGAAGAGGTTTCATTTTAATTATGTAGGTTGTTGACAAACTGTGGCCAAGTGTTAAATATTACTTTTGTTTCTGTTCGCAGAATTGTATTAGTCCTTTATCTAAAACTTATATGACCTGATTTTATAGGTCTTCATTAGCTTGATTTTTATAATTACTTTTTAATTTAGAAAATGAAAGTAATGCAGCTTAATATTCCTGAAGTGCAAAAATGATGACAATAGTAGCTACTTTATAAGGTTACTGCGAGTATCATATCAGATAACATACGCAAAAGTACTGTGTGACTCTGACACATTTTCTACATTCAAGTCATCACAAGTTCAGACACTACTATTCCTAGATTTTTTGACAGATTTTAGATGATGTGTGGAAGACATACTGAGTAGAATTTCTTTCTACAATTTTTGAGTAAAAGTCTTGAATTACAATGGCAAACACATATATAAAAGAAAGTAAATCAAGGGATATTACTTGAGATTATGAATTTCAACAGATTTAATGACAGATAATTTTAAATTACTTTTGCAGGTTTTGTTTCCAAGTTCTTCATTGACCATACTTAAATCTTTGTAATTTCGTGCAGCTTTAGTCAGAACATTGCTCAGATGTATTTCAGTCACTGTACAAATTCCGTTGTATGTCAAAATCAAATGATAAATAACTTGTAAACCTTTTAGCCACAGATTTGCAGTTTATGCTGTCGTATGACTGTATGTGTGTGCGTGCTAGGAAACAATTTTTATTTCCTATAATTTATTTTGATAATTATTAAGATAGAACAAAATATCTCCAAATTTTGCAATGGACATTTTTGTATTCTGCTATGCTAATAACTACCTTATGAAACAACCACAGTCATATAATTTTGGAAAATATTTAGATGTTTGAAATTAAATGGGTTTCTTTAATTTAGGAGCTCTCAGAACATTTATTATGTTGATATGTGTGGTAAATATCAAAAAGATTTCTAGTGAACATAGGTCTTCTCCCCACAAAGTTCCTTCCACCTCTTTCACTTCGTGTTGTAAGTAGGTTCCGGCATCCTGTGTGCTCTGGTAGCCTAAGCTGATCATAGTCATCTTATCTTTCTTGTTTGAGTCATAGAACTAAGTCAATGATTGCATGATATTGCCTTTAGATAGACATTCATTTATAAATGGGCATGGGATTTAATTAAATATAATAGTTTCCTGAGGTCTTTGTGATTATTTTAATGCTAATAGCTCCCCAGGAAGAGATGCTATATACTTTTTGTTAATCCGTTTTTGAATCTTGTTCAGAAGTATGAGACATTTCTCTGACTACTAGCCTGAGGATAGAGGAAAAATCATAGAGAAGTAAACCAAAATAAATTCTTTAGAATTAATTCAACCTTGAAGCTTATCGTTGGACTTCCAGTGTTGTGAGATAATAAATTTCCTTATATATAATTCTATCTGATTTATGCTGACGGCTGCCAAAGATATTTTACCATTGTGATGTAAAAGGGTAATGGGTTCAAAGTTTTTGACAATGCAATATTGTTTAGACAACCCACTGATAGGGCAAATTTTTGAAAATCTAGTATAGGAAGAAAAGAGTGGTTTATATAGTGTCAGCTGATCTGGGTTTGAATGCTTTCTAATTCATTACTAATTTGATTTGGGAGATAATATAATCTATATATAATTAATATTTCTCTGTAATAAAATTATGATAATAAAACTCCCCATATTATCATAAAATTGTGATAAGGATAAGTGAAATATGTAAAATTACCAATAGTGCTTAACAAATAGTATGTGCTCACTACATTTCATCTGTTATAATCATTATTATTTTATCATAATTAAATATTGCTTACTATAACATATAATAAATATTAATCTGACCAGATCATTAAAACTATCAAGATACTTTTCTTGTGTCCTCATTTAATATATGCTGCTCACATTCCAGAAGAGTGAAGCATAACAATAAAAACAAACAAAAAAAGGTCCCTGAGGAATATTCTAAAGTCTTATAAAATTTAATGTTAATCAGTATTAAAAATTTCAATGGGCCTACTTTATGATAAGAAAATTCTCTTAAACTGATCTCTAGCTAATCTTCAGATATTGAACATAAAGTCATAGCATCATAAAATCTAATGTTAAAAAAGTCTTAATAGAAAGCTTAGAGGGCTTAGCCTGACTGGAGAAATAGACTCTTTAGTACCTCTTACAGAATCTTATTATTTTCAATGTAGAGCATTCACAGGCAATATATTTCCTTATTACACAGCTCTAAGTGTTTAAAAAAATTATTTTGAACTATCCTCTGAGGTTCACAGAGAAAAAAAACATAAATATGTGGCCTATAGGAATATCCAGCTGAACGCTTTCCATTTTTGAGACACCAGGCTAATCACTTTAAGTGCATTACTTTAGTTAAATATATCCAAAGCTCTATAAGATAGATATTATTATCATTTCTATTTTACAACTAAGGAAATGGGGATTTCAAGAGCCTCAAATTGCCATAAGGCAAACAGTTAGTAACTTGATTTTAACTCATGTATATGTGCATCTTAAGTATCTGATCTTAATTTACAACCAATGGTGCAATTCATAAATAATTAAACAAATATTTTGAATGCCATTTGAATATTTACTATTCGCTTCCTCGTGGGGAAAGGAACTATCACTTAGACTCAATTTAAATAAGTGACGAATAAAAATGGAAATTACAACTTGAACAACCTCACATAGCTAAGACACAGTGGAATTGATACTTTACAAAAAGTGATTAGAAACTATATTTCAAGACAAACATAACTTCAAAGAAACAGAAAACAAAAGGTAAAGAGATGAAAAATTAATTATATTAGTTGGTTAGTCAATCAGGTGATTACTCTTTTAATTACATCTAAACACAACTTTGAATATGATGTATCAATGATAATGTAAAGAATAGAAATTATTCTCTAAAATAATTTCAACCATTTAAATGGATATCTTTCCAAATAGTCAATGCTTTTAGTTAATTTTTAGTTAATTTTTTAGTATATCACACATACTACTGTTAGAATAAATTAATAGACTATTTTTGATATATTGTTTCACTGAATGTTTCCTACATGTAGCATCTCATTTAATTATAACAAACCATTTTACCAACAACTGCTATCCTGACATTTGCCATGTCATATATAATTATTAATGTTTTCAATTATAATATGTTCTACAATAAAAGAAAAGGAAGATCTGAGGAACTGTTTTATATAATAGATGTCTCAGAAAGATAACAGGTAAATGCAGTAAGTGATTCTGGATTAGCTCCAGGATTGGAAAAACAAAAGAAATTTAAAACACAATATTGGAACAATAAAATAAATTTGTATACAGGATCTAATATGGATAATAGCATGGCATTTATATTAAATATCTTGATTTTGATAGCTATATTGTGGTATATAATAGAAAAACCTCAATCTTAGTAAATACATAGTGAAGTACTAAGGAATAAATGAGTACTATGTTCCTAACTTACACTCAAATGATTTTAAAATATATACACAAAATCATATACTCTTAGAGTGAGGAAGAAAGTGAGAGAAGAGAGAAAACAGAAAAAAGAGAATAATGATAAATGGGAAACTTTATAATTGGTGGCTCTGGATAAAGGATATATGATTTATATACACTATTTTTGTAACTTTTCTATAAGTCTAAAATTATATCAATAATTTACATGTGCACACACACACATACAATGAGTTACTCTTGGTATCTTATTATGTATAAAATTAAGCTATCAATGCCTTGCTTCTTACAATATTGAGAGAATTAAATAAAATAACCTATCTAGTGAAATAGTGTTATGTGTTGAAATAGCAAGTGTTCTGTATGTTTATTTTACAATTAAATAAATAATGATTGAATAAGTAATTTATCAAAGAGAACATTGCCAGAAAATAGCACAGCTATGCCTTAGAATGCATGTTTACCAATCTCATAACCAGTGTAATTATTTTAAAATTTAATTTGATGCTGGAAAATCTGTACACAAAAAGAGTGATATAATTCATTGAAGAGAATGAGTTAATCATTTTGTGATGTTCTGCACATTTTGCTTGATTTATTGCTGTCTAGGTTATTCCAAATAGAATTAGTAAATAATGACAGGTTTCTCAATATTTTAAATACTTTCGTTAATTCACTAGAACCAATTTTGAAACAATTACCTGAAGATACTACTAGCATTGTGTCATACTTTCCTCCATTTAATGGCATATGTAAAAATAAGAAACAAAACAAAAATGAGAATAAATAAAACTGACCAACATAATCTAAAATTCTAGCATGAAATATTTTACTATTATTCTAATTCCTGGTTTTAATTAAAATGAATTTTGTAAGTAAGTTATCTGCAGTATAAGAATACTATTTTGTATATAACCAGTCATTTTTATATCTAAAATATAAATATACTTCTTGTTATCTAGTTCCAGTCTATATTAAATTTTCTCAGATACATGTGCATGCATGTATGTGTTCATGTGTGTATCATAATGTTTTT
The DNA here is from genome assembly GCF_000001405.40 of Homo sapiens. Lineage (NCBI taxonomy): Eukaryota > Metazoa > Chordata > Mammalia > Primates > Hominidae > Homo > Homo sapiens. The sequence continues at coordinate 102,647,607 of NC_000009.12, read as the reverse complement.
CAGTTTTTATAGGATTACTCTACTTTTTCTCATTACATTTTTCACAGGATGGATTTTTCCTAACTGAACAATTTACTGATGTAAACCACACCTTTTCATTAGCATGTTGAAAACAAATTCTTTGAATCAGAGAAAGATAATAAATATTAAATATGTCAGTTTAGGACAAAAAAAAACAAACTAAAAGAGAAACCAAGGAAAATTAGATATATGAGATCACATACAAAAGCAGTGAAATTGTAAAGTGTAAGTTTGATATTATTAAGACTTAAATATACCTTAATTTGCAATTAATCCTTTATAAGAATGAAATATCTATCATATGCTTCACAATCAATATAGAATATGAAGAAATAACATAACTCAATAAATAAGGGAATAAAGCTTCTAATGCAGACATGAGTGAAAAATGTGATATTTTGTGGGAAAAATGTAAAGTAGAAATCGTGTGTATTAGTCAGGTTTCTCTTAGAAGGACAGAACTAATATATATATATATATATATATATATATATATATATATATATATATGGGAATTTATTAAGTATTAACTTACATGATCAATAGGTCCTATAATAGGCTGCCTGCAAGCTGAGGAGCAAGGAGAGCCAGTCCAAGTCTAGAAGTCTAAGAACTTGGAGTCTGATATTCCAGGGCAGGAAGCATCCAGCATGGGAGAAAGACATAGGCTGGAAGGCTAGGCCTGTCTCTCCTTTTCACGTTTTTCTGCCTGGTTTATGTTTGCTGGAAGCTATTAGACTGTACCCACCAGATTAAGGGTGGATCTGCCTTCCCCAGCCCACTGACTCCAATGTTAATCTCTTTTGGCAACACCCACACAAACACACTCAGGATTAATACTTTGTATCACTCAATCCAATCAAGTTGACACTCAGTATTAACCATCACATGTATAGTATGTATGTGTGCACTGTTCAAACAAAAACCTCCTCAATAACAACACTTTATAATATGTCACACTTTATTTTAATGGAATAAATGCTGCCCTTGCCTTCCAAAGATGATTGTTGGTATTGTATGGGTGAAATGACATGAGGCCTATATTTTTCTTTAAAATACGTCAGAAGATTAAATAAACTAAACTTATAAACTAAACAACCTCAAACTAGCAGAGGCTACACAAAATTTGTTGGTCGAGTGGCAGGAAAAATCTGAGAATAACAAATATAAGCAGAACCCAGAAACACTTTTCCAGAATAAAAGAATAAATGGAAATAATGGGCATTACTCTAAGCATTTATGAGAAAGAGAGAAGGTTGGGGGGCATCCATTAGAGAGCTGGGGAAAGTGAATATAAAACCTATTCTCAGATCTAAAGATTCCCCAGCCCCTTCTTCTCTGTATTGAATTCTCGTACTTATGATTGTCTTTAGAAAATCTAATCATTATGATTGGCTAGAAAAAAAATAAATTAGAACTGCTGCATCTACATATGATCTTCCACATAAAATGCTGAAAACACTGCTGCTAAACATAACAATTTTGGATTTATAAAATATAAAACAAAAGTCTATTTTAAGGCATTAGAAAGCTCATGAAATGAGGAACACAGAGGCAAAGGTTTTGAAGAAGTGAGAACATCAAAGAGGTATGCTGAAATCGTGAAGCTACATTGCTCCTGGGAATAGTTTCTATTTTTTTCATAGAGACAAAAAAGAATGGTGTATAGAATGAAAATTTGAGTTTTGCCTTACAAATAAATGTCCATGGTTCAAGAAAGTGGGGAAGGTTGGTAATGTGAAAATAAGTAATTCAAAATCTATGCTGTTGGAACGTTAAATTATTTTGAGCCTTAACAAAGTATGATTATGGGGCCTGAGTCACCTGACAAGTATCTGTAACCTAGGCAGTTGTAACCTTTGTCTCTCTAATTATGAATTAGCCTTTTTCCTTACTTACATTATTTTGGAAAATGTTGTAAATGACTAAAGGGTGCCAGGGAAGACTCCTTCGCCCTTCACTGTTGATCTTCATTATATATTATCTTTCATTTTACCCAACTTACACAATGATTTCATGAATATCACCTCATCTTAAGATGAAATGTTAAATACAATCTTTCAAATTAAAAAGAAAGCAAGCTGCAGTGAAAATAAGACAAACTGTAACTTATTAAATTGTTATATTTCATAAACCAGCCAAGTATAGAAAATGTATAATCCTACTAAATATTTTTGTTTTCGGCCTATATAAGCAAGACCTTGACTTTTAACTTTAGAGCACTGATCCCATTTCTGTGGGGTATGTTTTTTTCCTGATGGGTATCCCCAGCTCTTCTCTTGAATAAATTCTTTAAACCTGGATTATGATTTTGTTTTAATCATTTCAGGTTGATAGTAGTGAACCCAAATCAGAAAAGAATGTGGAGGGCTATGTCTCATAAACAGGTGATTAAAAGGTAGACAGAACCCAGGCCTAAACTAACTTCGTCTCTAATTAGATAGAAGTGATTCAGCAACACTTTATTGTTCTAGAACAAGAAAGAGTATATCACCTCCAGGGGAAGACAATATTATCTAGATACCGTATAATTTTGGATATGCAATGGTATATCACTCAAAAAATGCTAGATATTGCAAAAAGAAGATCATATGAATGAAAAGAAATAAAAAGACAAATTAATGGGTAATCCATATATTGGAATAGTAAAAAAAATTTTAAATAACTTATAATTATGTTCAAAATATGAAATCAAGGAGAACATAGATAAGAACATGAAAAATCTTATGAGAAAATTGGATTCTATAAAAAGCAATCAACAAGAAAAATATCTGGAATGACAGAATAAGGACTTGTTAAAGTCTGCTTCTCCATAAAAAAAAAAAGAGAATTTTGAAAAAAAAAGAGTAAAAACGGACTTTTCCAGAATTTCAAGTTAAAGATTTACAACAATCCAAAAAAAGCGGTATTAAAAATAAAATGGCTGAATCCTGGTAAGATTAGAAAGCTTTGTGATGTTTAACTTACCCTAAACTCACCTGTCCCCAGTTCTGCAGTAGCCATAAAAAACAGAAGAACAAAAACTTTACAACAATGGTGGTTTTGGAAAACAGCAGCCTGCTAGTCATTGGAGGAGCAGAACGTATTTAAATCGTGATGAAAATGGTCATCTCTCAGATAATTATCACTATTCACCTGTTGGCAGCTCTCTGAAAATGCCTTATTCTCACAGATTGTTTTTATTTGACCTTAGAGTTTCCTTTATGCAAACAGTCCTGTCTTCAGTGCATTTGTAGAAAACAATCAATGACAACTGTTTAACATTAAACCTGCTTGAGGTGGCTACAACAGCTGTTGCTAACAAGATGCTAGCTGAAACACTTGAAAGAAGTAGTAGGAGAATAAGATTTCCATAGAAAGCTTTGTAAAGCTCTGATTTACTCCTGAGAATGTAGAATACTGCACACATGTTCAGGGCTGTGTACATGACCAGCAAAAGTGTGATTTTTTAAAAACTGATGCATAAGAGATATACATAGTTTTGGGCTACATGTGACAATACATTTATATAAGTTTTAAAGCTCAAACCTTTGTACTTTGGGATATCTATTACCATAAATATTTGTTTTTTCTTTATGCTGGAACTACTCAAATTATTTCCTCTAGCAATTTTGAATTATATAATAGATAATTAGAATCTATAGTCACCCCACTAAACTAAGTTTTATTTCTTCTATCAAACTATATATTTAAGCCAGTTAAAAAATCTGTGAAACATGTGAAAAGACACATCACCAAAGAAAGTAGACAGTTGGCAAATAAGCACATGAAAGACATTCAACTTCATATGTCATTTATGGAATTACAGATTTTAAAAACAAGATACCTAAACAACTATTAAAACATCTAAAATCCAAAACACTATAATACCAAATACTGAAGAGGATTGAAGCTACAGACATTCTAATTCATTACTGATGGGAATGCAAAATGGTACAGCCACGTTAAGTTGTCAGTTTCTTACAAAGCTAAGCACATCATCATGTGATGCACCATTGGTTCTCATTGTTTTACCCAAATGAGTTGAAAACTGATGTCCACACAACAACCTGCACATGAAGGTTTATAGCAGTTCAACAGGTGAAGGGATCAATAAACTTTGATACACCTATGAAATGGAATATAATTGAGCAATAAAAAAATGAGCTACCAAGCCATGAAAATACAATGAGGTACTTTAAATGTATATTGCTTTGTGGAAAAAGCCAACCTGAAAAGGCTGCATACTTGGAAATGTAGCAGTGATGGTCACTCCTGTGGCCATCTTGGTTTGGGCTGACTTCTTTACTGCAAACTGTTTTATCAGCAAGGTCTTTATGACCTGTATCTTGTGCCAGCCTCCTGTCTCATCCTGTGATTTAGAATACCTTACCCGTCTGGGAATGCAGCACAGTAGGTCTCAGCCTCATTTCACCCAGCTCCTTTTCAAGATGGAGTTGTTCTGGTGTAAAAGCCTCTGACAAAACAATACGGACAATTACAAGGTCAGTGATTGCTAGAGCTTGAGGGGAGAAAAAGAGATAAATAGGTGAAACACAGGATTTTTAGGATAATGAAAGGATTCAATTCTGTATGATACTGTCATGGTAGATACATGTATATTAACCATGTTTTCTAGTTTTTGAGTCTGATATTTTGACACCTGGGGTCTTGTTGACTAGGACAGTACTGCTCTCTTAGGGTTAACAGATTCCTGGAGAGAGTAAGGAATTCTCCTGTGTGCCTGTGCTTCATATGCAAACTAACGAATTCAGAGCCCATACTCCCCACCCACTAGCTTTATTGGGCTATTACACTTGTGACACTAGTTCCCTTCCTTGACATCAGATCCCTTCCCTAGGCATCAGACACCTAGAGGCATCCCTTATACCTGAGATACTGGTGAAATTATTTAAACTATCCAATCTTAAACCTCATTATCCTGTTTACACTGCCTCCCCCATTTCTTCCCACAAAAATCATAAGACTTTCAAGCAGTTTGCCTAGCTTTCCCTCTCTGCCTGCAACTGAGTTTGGTGTTCTCCCCTGTGACCATACCTTGCTTACCTTCCTCTTGGGAACTGTAATAAACTGTCTTTTTAATAGCAATCATCTACTGATCTGCTGCCCTCACCACATCTCAGTAAAACCAAAATCCCAGGAACACTTTAATGCAACATGACACAATGCATTTGGCAAAACCCACAGAACTACACAACTCAGAGTGAACTCTAGTGTAAACAATGGACTTTGCTTAATAATGATATATCACTTTTGTATCATTAATTTCCACAAATGAGCCATACCAATGTAAGACATGAACAATAGGAGAAACTATAAACCAGGAGAGGGAATTCTGTACTTTTTAAAAATTTTTCTGTAAATCTAACTTTAAGAAATAAAATCTATTAATTTTTAGAATTAGATCTATTCTTAGAAATAGACAATCTAAGAAATGGGAGAAAATATTTGCAATTAATATCTTCAATAAAGAACTTGTATGCAGGAAATAAAAGACCACTTACAACTCAAAGTTTAAGACAAATAGTCCAATTGTAAAAGGGCAAAGCATTTAAATAGAAGTATTTTTCAAAGTAGACAAACAAATGGCCAATAAACACATGGGAAATGCAAATCATTAGTCATTAGAGAAATGCAAACTAAAATCATATTGAGGTATCATTTCATATCCAATTGGATAGCTAAAATCAATGACTATATAGAAAATAACACGTTGAGGAAAGGATATAGAAATATTAGGTTTGGAGCAGTGGCTCATGCCTATAATCCTAGCACTTTGGGAGGCTGAGGCAGGCAAATTGCCTGAGCTCAGGGGTTCAAGACCAGCCTGGGAAATGTGATGAAACTCTGTCTCTACTAAAATACAAAAAATTAGCCGTGTGTGATGGTGTGTGCCTATAGTCCCAGATACTTGGGAGGCTGAGGCAGGACAACTGCTTCAACCCAAGAGGCAGAGGTTGCAGTGAGCCGAGATAGCACCACTGCACTCCAGCCTGGGCAACAGAGTGAGACTGACTCCAAAAAAAAAAGAAATACTAAACTATGTGTCATTACTAGTGGCATAGTAACATGTTAACAGCCATTTTGGAAAAGAGTTTTGCAGTTCTTCACAATGTTAAAAATACAGTAAGCATACTACTCACCAGTTGCAGTCTGAGGTATATATCCAAGAGTACTGAAAATATATATTCAAAGAAGAACTTGCACACAAATGTTTATAACAGCATTATGCATAATGCTGAAAAGTGAAAATGTTCCAAATGTCCAATAACTGTTAAATAAATATAATGTGATATATCCAAACAGTGAAATATTATTCAACAATAAAAAAGAAGGAATTGTTGATACATACTGAAACAAAAATGAACCTTGAAAATATGTACACTGTATTGTACAGTTTAAAAGGATAAATTTGTGGTATGTGAATTATATCTAAAAGCTGTTATTAAAAAGAGCATCAAATAAAAATTCTAGAAGTAAAAATGGCAATGACTAAAATTTAAAAATAGATCACGTTTAATAGTCATTTATTGAAACTTTTTCCTATTGAAATGGCCTCGTTGTCTGGAGTGATACCTGAGGTTCAGTGTTCCACAACCATGGAAAAAAAGGACGTGGACACACAAGAGTAAGGTAAAGAGTGGAAGTTTAATAGGCAAAAGAAAGGAAAGAACTCCCTCCTGCAGAGAGAGGGGTCCTGAACGGGTTGCCGGTTTCGGTTTCGGGGTGAAATGCAGGGGGTTTTAGAGATAAGCTTGAGGAGGCGGTGTCTGGTTTACATGGGGCGTGCAAGATTGGTCAGATCAGGTGTGTTCTTTGCATGAGGAGTGAGATACTGGTTAGGACTAGGTGTGCCATTTGCATAGGGCATGAATTTCTGGCCTCCCCCAGCCTACACTTTTATTATGCAGATGGGTTCGCTGCCTGGCTGGTACCATGTTGCCCATTCCTTTACTGTACACGTGGTAACAAAAAAGGGAAGATGGAGCCTCCATGTTGGACATGCCTGGCCACCAGGTAGCTCTTTTCTATTGGCGCAGCTGCTGCATTCCCTCATGCAAGCTTCCGGCTTCTCTATGTTCGCATTTCCATTTTTCAGGCTGCTCTTTGTTAGGAGAAAAAAAAAAAAGTGCTCGAGCTGCTTTTAGTTAGAAGGGAAGCATTGCCAAGGACTCTTTTACTTTCACTATCTGCCAAAATAATTTATTTCTATCTCCTGTATCGCTATGAGATCAGGAACTAGACAATACCTAAAATTCTCCCACCCTCTCCCCTGCCTTTTTTCTTTCAAAGCTCTACTGGTGTTCTTTAAATTAGGCCAAAGAAATGTAAATCATAAGGATTAAAAAGGAAAAAAAAAAAAACCCTGTGGCTATTATCATAAAACATGATTATTACATAGTAAGATAAAATAATCTGTAGTCAGACAATTAAAACTAAATAAGTGCAAATGTCATATGGATAAGTGGTTAAGAATTAGAGGGGATAAAAATAAGAGAATAGAGAGGAGAACATGAAAAATAAGTTCATTAGTTCCTTTAGGTAGTATGCGAGAATAAATACAACATTTTAAACTGACAAATTAATAAGAGTAATCATATTCAATAAAATAGCATCAAACTATTATTTGCTACACAGAATCAGGAGGAGAAAACAAGCAGAGAGAAAGGAGCGAGATGTAGTAAGAAAATGTTGTTGATCATAATAGGTAACCAAGAGATATGGCAAAAATCGGTTAAATGTTTGTGTTTATTTGTGAGTGTATGTGTGTGTGTGTATGGGAGGTGAATATATTGTTAAGATACATTATATGATATTAGGATAAAATATATGTTAGGATATAAGTAATATTATATATAGACATTAGGATACATACATATAATATTAGGATAAAAGTAGCCATGATAACAAATATATAAATGGTCTCATATTTAGAAATACAAGCAAACAATAAAGAAAAGATATGATATATGACATAGAGAATGTGTTTTTATTTACATATATTATTTTAGATTTACTTTTTATTTGCAAATCCATACATTAAAAATAAGAAAATAATATGACAAAATTTAAAACCAACTTTTAAGTTATATCAGGAAATGTAAATTGACTTAAAAGGAAAAAAAATTTTGAATGAATTACAAAGTCAAATTTAACTGTATGTTAAATATAAGAGACATATCTAAAGCAAAAAACTCAGAAATAATATGCATAGAAAGATGGGCAAAGATATGTCAGACAAATGAAAATCAGAATGAAGACAAGATCATGATAATTGGATCACTAAAGGTAGAATTAGACCCACAAAAAGAAATTTCAAAGTTTGAGAGGACATTTTATATTGATATAATAGCTATGAACTACACAGCAAACAGTGATTTTACAAGGCAGAAATTACAACACTTCCAAACTACAGAAGACACTCTGTAACACAATCATCACTGAAAGGATGTTCTCAAGGAACCTGGATTCCTTGAGAAAGTGGCTGATTCTAGGTCTGGGAACAGAAAAAAACCTAGATGACCCTGCAACATTTTCTCAGATGAGAAAAAAATGAAACTTTCAAAAGTTAACAGGGTCGTGTCAAGTAGACACAGTGGAACTTTATTAATAAAGTCTTGATTGAAAAAAAATTATTTGGAAAAAGTGAGGATTAAGTATAAGAATTCTAATGAACTGACACACATAGAAGTATGAATGAAAATTATGGAATCTATATGATACTCAGAAAAAAGAACAAAAGAGCAGGAAAAATGGTATGTCGCTATTTAACATGACTATTAAAATATCTTCTTAATAAAAACAATATCTAAAGGAAAAGTATTAAGTATTTATTCTGGCTTTCCAGTAGGAACTTCACTGCAGTATAACTGAATTCCTACATCAAAGAAGCATCAAATATTCTGATACCATTTTATGTATAATGATATGCATAATAATACCATTCCTTCAAGGCATGTGGATCAAAGAGCTTATAGTTATGAGTTCTAGTTTAAATTGTAAGGTTGGCAAAACTCATTTAATCTGTTCCCACAATCAGAGACTTCCCAATTGCGATAACTTTTCTTCGTCCCTGCTAACCTGTGCCTACTATTCTCCTCTCTCTTTTTAAGGAGGAGGGGGATTACAAAACCGTGGATCCACACAGGCATCTAAGAGCTAACTACTTAGACAATTAACTGGTTTTTGTCTTACTTCTAAAAGATGAAATATCAGCAAAGAAAAACATTCAATAATAAAATTTTAAAGTATAAATACATTTGGAAAGTTGGGAAATACTCTATTAGGATGTAAATGGCCAGAAAAAGAGGTCTGTACTGGTATTTCTATTCTAAAATGAATTTATTTTCACTAATATGAAAAAACAATAAAGACTATATTTTTAATGAATTTAAAGGTATTATGTTTTCTCTCTTTTACCCATGTCAATCATTGATGTATTTCCCAAATTGCTATTCTCCTCAACTGTTAGATAAATATCCCTACCTTTTAAAGCTGTATATAACAGCTGGAAATTCTCCCCAGGTAAGATCTGACTAAAATGAGCTTAAGACAAAAGAAGCATATTGGAATTTTGTTTCCCATATGCCTCACTGTTATGAACAACTAGGAGAATTGATTTAATGAGAAGAAAAAAACTTAGGCAAATTAAACATAGTGAATATCAATCTAGTAAAAATAAGACAGGCAAATCGATAATGACAGTAGTTAAGGCAGTCAGCTACGTTTAATGGCTAATTTAGGACCAAGTCAAATTGTAGAGGAGACTAATGAACCATAATGCAAATCATACAATACAGTGAAAGTTGCAAAACATGTGCAATTAGCACACATGTTGGGGACATCAGTCTGAGATTCCTAAATATAATATGAAGCTGTTGTCAAGAGAAGATTGGAAACTGGACTTGAATGCCCAGGTATGCAGCTAAATCATCACTTCAAAACAAACAAACAAAAAAAACCCATCAGGTGGAAAGTAATCCAATCAGGCAAAATCTTGTATCTCTCTATCCAGGACTGTCACAAAATAAAATTATATCTAAAAATCAATCACTTGACTCAGAACTGTGTTTTTAACAGTATGTGTCTCATAATAGGATAGATTGACAGTTGCCATGCTGAATTTACAAAGGGAAATAGAAGTTGATCATATTAACTGTGAAGCTTCTATTTAAATAATAATTACATGTGGGTCTTTAGTGACAACCCTCATCCTTAGTAAAATTGGTTTAGTTTTGTTACTTCATCCAGTGACCACAAGATCCAACTAGCTTCTTCGGACCCTCTCTCTACCACTGCTTTTTGACCCTCTGAACATTTCATAGGGTTGTGAATATACTATATTGTTTGATTAGTAAGCGTACTCTAAGTTGTAAAAGACAAAACAAATTTGAACTAATTTAAGTTAAAAGAAGATAGGATTATATTAAAGGATCAGTAGAGTGGAAGTGAGGAATCTGGGACTGAATGCAATTGTCTCAATTCTGTGAAAACTATGAGGCTGGAAACATGAAATTAGTTATTTCTGGACTCACACATTCTCGGCTTCACCTCCTCTGAAAAACCTCAGGGAAAAATCTCTGATTAGCTTTGAGTGAAGAAATAACTAAGAGAAAAAGAATTTAGAAGTTTGTTTTCAAGAAATGCAAGATTGTCAGACTTAGAAGGACTAAATAATGAAATAGAAAACACAAGATGTGTTTCAATGTTTTAAAAAACACATTATTACCAAAATTATAAAGCTTGCTGTTAGTCTATTCAAGTTTGAAAAAAATTCTTATGGGAGCTGGGAGTGATGATAAACTCCTATAATCCCAGCTACTCAGAAGGCTAAGGCAGGAGGGTCACTTGAACTCAGGAGTTTGAGGTTGCAGTAAGCTGTGATCATCCCACTGTACCGCAGCCTGAGCAACAAGTAAAACCCTAACTCATAAACAAAACCTGATCATTATTATATTTTCAGAGGAGGTGATATGTCTTCAGATATCAGCATTTAAAAAGTCAGTGATAAAATACTTTCCTTGGAGAGTCAATAACGTTATAGGAAAGGCTCAGAAATCAACTGAGTTTGGGAGCTGGAAAAAAAAAAAAAAACCTGTTATGTTTGGAATATCTCAGAATGTAAAGTGCACCCTATCCACCTACTACCAAGGGATATGCTATTCACACTTATTCCTAATGTTGGCAGAAAATGTGTTAGTTTTGTTCCCACGTTCTCTACTTTTCAAGTTTCTGTCCCTAAAACATAGATTTAATCCCGTAAGTTTGTTCTGTAATTTTGTATATAAAAATCATCAATTTTATACTTTATTTGATCAATTTTATTTGCATAGGTGTGACAAAAGGTGTTAATTCACAAAGTTTTTTTCTTTTTTTGCTTAGCAAAATTAGAGCCATATCCTATTAATTTTCAGAAATTAAAACTGTCTAGAGACCTCATATGATCCCTATGCTTATAACTCTACCCTACACATCAGAAATATTTTCTTTTTGTGATTATTGGCTCATCAACTGAGATCACGAACAAAGAACAATTCCGTTCACCTCATTTGGGTTATACTATAGTAGCTGTAATTTTATCAAACTTACAAACACTCTAGCAGAGTTTTCTTCCTATCTCATCTGCTGTGGTTTGAGTTTGCCACACCAAAGCTCATGTTCAAATTTAATTCCCAACCTGGTGGTGTTGGGAGGTGGGGCCTAGTGGAAGGTATTTGAATCATGGAGGTGAATCCTGCATGAGTGGCTTGGTGTGTTCTTACAGTAAGTGAGTTCTTACTCTGGAGAGAAAAGATTAGTTCTCTTAGGAGCAGATTAATTTCCATAAAAGTGCATTGTTAAAAAGCAAGATTCCTCCTTCTGTTCGGTCCTCTTTCTTTACATTTGTTCACTTCTCTGACCTTATCTGTCATGTTACAATGCAGCACAGAAACCCTCACCAGAAGTGAGGGACATGCTTTTGAACTTCCCAGACTGTCAAACCATGAGCTAAATAAATTTCTTTTCATTATAAATTACCCAGGCTCAGGTACTGTGTTACAGCAACACACAATGGACAAAGACACATTATATCTTATTCTCTTCCATTGCAGACCAGTCATACTGTGGGTTAATTTAGGCCTACAACTTTGTTTTATTAATGGCTTGTCAGCATTCAAACTTACTGTTAATTCTTGACTTCACTAATTTTTTGTTTCTCTGGGACATTTCTCAGAGGCCTGACAAATGGCAGTGAACATACCTCTTTGAGATCCTGATTTAAATTGTTTTGGATATATATATATATCCAGGGATTGTTAGATCACATAATAATACTATTTTAATTTTATGAGGGAATTCCATACTTATTTCCATAGCTACTCTGCCATTTTACATTCCTACCAACAGTGTAAAAAGGTTTCAATTTTTCTGCAATCAAATTAACACAAATCACAGTTATTACCTTTTTAAAAAACTAAAAACCATCCTAACAAGTGTGAGGTGATATCATTTGATCTGCATTTTCCTTATGACTAATGCTGTTGAGTACATTTTTATAAACCTATTGACCATTTGCATTCCTTATCAGATATACAGTTTGTAAATATGTTCTATCAACCCATAGTTTGCTTTTTCACTCTGTTGATTGTGTCCTTTGATGTGGAGGAGCTTTTGAATTTGACAGAGTCCCATTTTACTTTTTCTTTTGTTTCTTACTGCTTTTAGTGTCATATCTATGAAATCATCGCTGAGTTCAATGTCATGATGATTTCTCCCTGTTTTTTTCTACGATTTTTACATTTTCAGGTCTTCGGTTTAAGTCTGTAATTATCTAAGTTGATTTTGTGTATGGCATAAGATAGGGGTTCAATTTCTTTTCTTTGAGTGTGAATATTCAGTTTTCCAGACATCATTTGCCAGAATAATTTTCTTGTCTTTATTGTATATTCTTGTTTTTTGCTGAAGTTTAGTTGACTGTATGTGTGTGCGTTATTTCTATTTCAATTATAGCTGGGTTTAATTTCTGGGTTATTTCTATTTCAATTATAGCTATTTCTATATCAATTATATGTCAATTATACCTCAATATAGCTAAAAACTGTTACTTGGCTAATACATCTTCTCTCATTTCATGGTAGATTTGTTTGTCTTTAGTAAATGCACAGATTATGAGCAGAAATATATGATTAACATACCTCAGAGTTTTCAGAGAGAGAGAGAGAGAGAGAGTGGCAGACAGACAGGCAGAGAGGAAGAGAGAGAGCAGGTCATGCATGTGTGAGTTAGAAAATTGGTCATATACCCAAAAGTAGTACAATTATAAACAGACCAATATAAAATATTAATGGAGGCCGGGCATGGTGGCTCATGCACGTAATCCCAGCACTTTGGGAGGCCAAGGCAGTCTCATCACTTGGGGTCATGAGTTTGAGACCAGCCTGGCCAAAATGGTGAAACCCCATCTTTACTAAAAATACAAAAATTACCCAGCCGTGGTGGTGTGCACCTGTAATCCCAGCTACTCAGGAGGCTGAGTCATGAGAATTGCTTGAACCCAAGAAGCAGAGGTTGCAGTGAGCTGAGATCATGCCACTGCACTCCAGCCTGGGTGATAGAGTGAGACTCTGCCTCAAAAATAAATAAATTAAAATAAATTAAAAAATAAAATTTTAATGACCTTTCTATTGTTAATAATTTTTTTTTCATTTACACACAGCTGTGTTATTAACATCAGACTTAACAACAATCATGAATCAAAAAGGCACAACATGCACAAAATCACTGCTTGGCTGTGGTAAAGATCTTGAAGATACACATCCCATTCTCCATTATAGCAAGTACTTTGTATACCTGTATATATACATACACTTAGTTATCTGAGCTCTGCTTGGCAAGAAAATTATACCATACTGAAGATAGAGGTACAACAATCCTCAAGAAAAATAAATATATAATTTAATAATCCATAAAATATAACTGGATAATTTTTATTTTATGCTACCAATTGACATCATCCCATAGGCTGTAAAATCAGATCTCCAGATATTTGTCACCAATTGAATGGACATGCACAAATCAGAAACAGGTACAGAACCAGAACTAGACTTTGCTAAGAAAACTAGACTCATTCTGGAAAAAGAATTAGAAAACGTTAGAACGCTTTGAGTCAAAAACTAATGACCACATGGGACTGTTTTGTATCTTGGCTGTATCAATGTCAGTATACTCACTGTGATATACACTACAGTTTTGAAAAAGGTTATCTTTGAGAGAAACTGAATAAAGGGAACATGGGCTCTTTGTATTATATCTTACAACTATAAATGAATCTACAATGATCTCAGAATAAAACTTTAACTTAAAAGGTAAACAATCAACAATCAGCCACAAAGGCAGAGATAGTAAAACTGTCCTACTACTGTGTGTGTCAGAAAAAGGATCCATCCTGTAAACAGCTTCCAAGGTGTTCTTCTTGGTTATCACAATTTATTCAGCTCTTGTTAGCCAGTCCCTCTCACCATGTCATGGTAGAAACTATGGCTGTGAAAGGAATAGACAGTAGGAAAAAAAAAAAAAAAGCACAACAAAAATGTTGGGTTCTGTCTTCCACTTAGTATGTAGAAAGCTGGAAAGAACACTGAATCCACTCTTAAAAGCAAAAATAATGCCAGATAATCTGCAAGTTTGTTATTTTTCTAAGGTCACAGATTAACAACCTAAAATCTAAGTGAAGACTGGCGTTTCCAATGAGACAAGGGAGATGAGAACTTGATTACTTGTGTCTAACTCCAGCAGGTATCAGTAAAAGAAATTCCATTAAAAATTTTAACATATTGCTAAAGACTGAATGAAAACTAGTGAGAAAAATAGAAACTGATGGTCACATAAACAAGGGAAATTTACATCTATTCATAGACTCTTTTTCATATACCAAAACAAGTGCTGACAAATAAGATTGACAAGATTCTTAAGAAGGCCTCCCTTGTCATGTAGAACTTGGAAAAGAGAAATAACAGCTGCTATAGGATAGGTATGAAACTCTGTCTGGGTTCTTTCTCCTTATCTCATTTATTTCCAAAAACTTTGAGCTGCTTAAAGAAGACCACCAAAAATTACTCTTGTGAAAACCTATTGCGGCTTAGGGAAGAGAATAGCCAAAAAAATAAAAATAAAAGACCTTATCCAGGGACTAGGGTACATCTGTTCTGTAGGTGCTCCTGCCCACCAGCCCCTCCCAGGTCCCCTGTCTGGCCATCCTGCAGGAGCATTTGCACAGAGCAGCCCCTGCTACTCAGCCTGGGTGTTTTGCTTCACCTGATTATGTTCCCAGTGGCCTGGGAGTACTTCAGATCCCCCATTGCATCCAGAATTTGACTTGGAGGGTCCAGAGGATGAAGCCACCAGTCAATCGTGGAGGCCCAGAACTGCTAAGCTCAGGAGTACCAAGCTGGTATCTGTGGCTGGCACTTGAGCAGGAAAGGACCCCACACTCTCACAGCACTGAGAGGTGTCAGATGCATAGGTTCCTAAGTTGGAGTGGAAGCTGGGCATGCCTCTCCTCACAAGTCCAGCCAGGAAAGGGTGTGGCCTATTTCCCTGACTTGACCTCTGCCCAGGGAGCCCCATTGCCCAGATACCTAACAATGAAAAAAAAAAATACAGGTGCACTGCCAGTGATGGGAGGGGAATCCCCCCAGGCCCAGGAGCAGACTAGGTGAGGGGGTCATCTTGCTTTCCACAGCATAGCAGAGCATGGATGCAAATGAATCCATGGATAAGGATGGATGAGGAAATAGAGAAGCTGACAGATAAGAGCCTACCAACCACCCATTACTCTTAAGTGCCATCTACTGGATTACAGCCCAAACTACAACACCAAAAATATTTTGCTAATATATCTCCCTGTGAAACCAAAGGCAAGAATTCAACCACTAATAAAGACCCTGTATAGAGCTTTGTCCCTCTGAAAACATCCAGAAATAAAGCTAATTGACTATACTCAACTTATACCATAGTTAGAAAAAACCATCCCCTTCCAGATTAGAAAGAATCAGCGCAAGAACTCTGACAATTAAAAAAAAAAAAAAAAAAAAAAAAAAAACCAGAATGTTCCCTTACCTTCAAATGGATCCATTAACTCCTCAGCAATTGTTCTTAACTAGTCTGAAATGACTAAAATGACAGACATGGAATTCAGAATCGAGATGACAAAGAAGCTTATTGAGATTAAGAAGAAAGTTGAAAGACAATAGAAGGAATCCAAGGAATACAGTAAAACAATCCAATAACTGAAATGCAATATAACCATGTTAAAGAAGCAAGCCAAATTTTTAGAGTTGAAAAATTAACTACAAAAATTTCATAATGTAATCAAAAGTATTAAGAACAGAATAGAACAAGGTGAGAAAGGAATATCAGAGCTCAAAGCTCAGTTCTTTGAATCAATTCAGTCAGACAAAATAAAAATATTTAAAAATGAACGAAACTTTCCTGAAATATGAGATTATGTAAAGAGACCAAACCTATGACACATGGTATTCCTGAGAGAGAAGGAGAAATAATAAGCAACTTGGAAAATATTTTTAAAGAGATAGTTAACAAAATACTCCCTAATTTCACTGAAGAGTTTGACATGTTAATTCAAGAAATACTGAGAACCCTGGCTAGATACTGTAAAAGATGAGCAACCCCAAGGTACATAGTCATCAGATTCACTAAGGTCAATGCAAAAGATAAAAGCTTAAAATCGGCTAAAGAGAAAGATCAGGTCATATAAAGAGGGACCCTCCATCAGGCTGGCAGCAGACCTCTCAGCAGAAACCTTACAATCCAGAAGAGATTAGGTGCCTATTTTCAGCATCTTTAAAGAAAAGAAATTCCAAACCAAGAATTTCATATCAGCCAAACTAAGCTTGATAATTTAAAGAGAAATAAAATGCTTCTTAGATAGGCAAATGCTGAAGGAGTTCCTTTCAACTAGATCAGTCTTACAAGATGACCTTAAGGGAGTGCTAAATATCAAATTAAAATAATGACACCTGCTACCCCAAAAACACACTTAAGCACATAGCCCACAGGCAGTATAATGCTAATACACAACCAAGTCTACATAACAACCAACTAAAAATGCAATAACATGATGAAAATCTCACACATCCATACTAATCCTGAATGCAAATGGACTAAATGCCCCCACTTAAAATACATAGAGTGGCAAACTGTAAAAAAAAAAAAAACAAGATTCAACCATCTGCTGTCTTCAAGAGACCCATCTCACATGTAACAACACCCACAGACTCAAAGTAAAGGGTTGGAGAAAGATCTATCATGCAAACAGAAAATTAAAAAGAACAGGAATCATTCTTATATCAGAGAGAATAGATTTTAAAATGATAAAAAATTAGGACAAAAAGCCATTATATAATGTTAAAGGGTATGATCCAAAAAGAGGACTTAACTATCCTAAATATATATACTCAACATTAGAGCCCCAGATCCATAAAACAAGTTGTTCTTGCCCTCTGTGAAGACTTAGCAGCCACACAATACTAGTGGAGACTTACAACAGCCCACTAACCATGTTAAACAGATCATTGAGGCAGAAAATTAAGAAACTCTGGACTTAAACGCAACACTAGATGAATTCGACCTAATAGACATCATCACAACAATCCACTGAAAAATCACAAAGTATACATTTTTCTCATCTGCACACATTTTAGATTGGTATTTTAAGATAGGTATTTTAAGATTGACCACATATTTGATCATAAAGCAAGTCTCAATAAATACAAAAAATTTTAAATCATAGCAAGTACACTCTAGGACCATAGTACAGTAAAAATAGTAATCATTAGGACATCTCTCAAAACTGCACAAATATACAGAATTTAAATGATCTGATCCTGAATAATTCCTAGGGAACTTCAAAATTAAGAAAGAAATCAAGAATTTTTTAATTAATGAGAACAAAGATACAACATATTGGAATCTCTGGGACACTGCTAAACCATGTTAAGAGGAAAGTTTATAATGCTAAATGCTCATATCAAAAACTTACAAAGATCTCACAATAACCTAATATCACACTTAAAGTATCTAGAAAACAAAAAGCAAACCAACCCCAAAGCTAGCAGGAGAAAAACAACTAAAATTAGAGATGAAATGAAAAAATTGAGATGCAAACAACCATACAAAAGATTGATTAAACCAAGAGTTGTTCCTTCAAAAAAAAAATGATAGCTAGATTATCAAAAACAGAAGAGATCCAAATAGTGCAATGTTAAATGACAAAGATGACATTACAACTCATACCAGAAAACTACAACAGATCTTCAGAGAATACTGCAAACAACTCTATGCACATAAATTGTAAAATTTAGAGGAAATGAGTAAATTCCTGGAAAAAATACCATCTCCCAAGATTGCATCAGGAAGAGATTGAAACCCTTAATAGACCAATATTGAGTTCTGAAATTGAATTAATAATAAACAACCTACCAATCGAACAAACAAAAATCCATTAAACAGATGGATTTAGAGCCAAATTGTATCAGGCTTACAAGAACTGATACCAATCCTATTGAAACTATTCCAAAAAATCAAGGAGGAGGGGCTTCTCCCTAAGTCAATATATGAAGCCAGCCTCAACCTGATACCAATATCTGGCAGAGACACAACAAAAAAAGGAAACCTTAGGCCCATGTCCCTGATGTACCTAAACACAAAAATCCTCAGTAAAATACTAGCAAAATGAATCCAGCAGCAGACCAGAAAGTTAAAACACCACGTTCAAGTAAACTTTATTCCTTGTTCAACATATGTAAATCAATAAATGTAATTCACCACATATACAAATCAAAAGCAAAAATGATATAGTCATCTCAATAGATGTAGAAATAAGTTTTGATAAAATCCAGTATACCTTCACGATAAAAATCCTCAATCGACTAGGCATCCAAGGAACATACCTCAAAAAAATAAGTCATCTATGACACATCCACAGTCAAAATCATTTTGAATAGCTAAAAGCTGGAAACATTCCCCTTGAGAACTGGAACAAGATAAGGATGATCATTCTTACCACCCCAATCAACATAATACTCAATATTCTAGTTAGCGCAATCAGGCAAGTGAAAGAAACAAAAGGCATCCAAATAGGAAAAAAAGAACTCAAATTATCTTTCTTCACTGATAGTATGATTCTATAGCCAGAATACCCTAAAGACTCTGCCAAAAGGTTACTAGCATCGATAAATAACTTTATAAAATTTCAGGCTACAAAATCGATGTATGAAAATCAGTAGCATTTTTATACACTAGTAACATTCATGGGAGAACCAAATCAAGAACACAATCTCATTTACAATATCCACAAAGAAAAGACCTGGGAATGTATCTCACCAAGGAGATAAAAGATTTCCACGAGGAGATCTACAAAACAATGGTGAAAGAAATCAGAGTCAACACACACAAAACATGGAAAAACATTTCATGCTCATGGATTATAAGAATCTATATTATTTAAATGATCATATTGCCCAAAGTAATTTATTGATTCAATGCTGTTCCTATCACTCTACCAATGTTATTCACAGGATTAGCAAAACTATTCTAACATATAAAAACAAAAAAGAGCCCAAATAGCCAAAGCAATCCAAAGCAAAAGAACAAAGACAGAGGCATCACACTACCTGAATTCAAACTATACCATAAGGCTAAAATAACCAAAACAGCATGGTCCCAGTACAAAAACAAACACATAGACCAATGGAACAGAAGAGAAAACTCAGAAATAAGCCATCTGATCTTCAAGGCAAACTAAAACAAGCAATGGGGAAAGGACTTCCTATTCAAGAAATGGTTCTGGGATAACTGGATACCTATATTCAGAAGAATGAAACTGCTTATCTTTCATTATAGTCAAAAAATTAATTCAGGGTGAATTAAAGTTTTAAATTTAAGATCTAAACTCTAAAAATCCTAGAAGAAAACCAAAAAATACCCTTCTCAACATTGGTCTTGGCATAGAATTTTTGGCTAAGTCCCCAAATGCATTTGCGACAAAAACAAAAATCAACAAGTGGGACCTAATTAAACTAAAGAGCTTCTGCACAGCAAAAGAAACTATCAAAAGAGTAAACAGACAACCTACATAATGAGAAAAAATACTCACAAACTATGCTTCTGACAAAGGTCTAATATCCGGAATCTATAAAAAACAAATACCAAGTAAAAAACATGAATAGATGTTTATCAAAAGAAGACATAAGAAGCAACAAACATATATGAAAAAATCTTCAATATCATTATCAGAGAAATACGAATTAAAGCCACAATGGGATACCATCTCACACCAGTCAGCATAGCTATTATTAAAAAGTCAAAAAAGAACAGATTTGGTGAAACTTCAGATAAAAGTGAACACTTATACACTGTTGGTGGGAATGTAAATTAGTTCAGCCACCTGAGAAGGCAATTGGTTGACTTCTCTACAAACTTAAAAAGAACTATCATTTGACCCAGCAATACCGTTACTGAGTATATACACAAAGGAAAATAGATCATTATATTGAAACAACACACATACTCCTAGGTTCATTGCCACACTATTCCCAACAACAAGACATGGAATCAATCTAGGTACCCATCAATTGTGGATTAAATAAAGAAAATGTGATACATATATGCCATGCAATATTACACAGCCATAAAATAGAAAAAAAATCATATTCTTTACAGCAACATGGATCTAGCTGGAGGACATAATTCTCAGCAATTTATACATGAACAGAAAAACAAATACCACATTTTCTCACTTACACGAGGTAGCTAAACATTGAGCACACATAGACATAAACATGAAAATAATAGACTTACATGGTTTGGCAGTGTCCCCACCCAAATCTCACCTTGAATTGTAATAATCCCCAAGTGTCAAGGGTGGAACCAGGTGGAGTTAATTGAATGATGGGGGCAGTTCCCTCATACTGTTCTCATGGTAGTGAATAAACCTCAAAATATCTGATGGTTTTATAAATGGTAGTTCCTCTACAAAAGCTTGCTCTTGCTTGATGCCACGTAAGACGTGTCTTGCTTCCCCTTCATTTTCTGCCATGATTGTGAGGCCTTCCCAGCCATGTGGAACTGTGAATCAATTAAAACTCTTTCCTTTATAAATTACCCAGTCCTGGATATGTCTTTATTAGCAGCATGTGAATAAACTAATACAGTAAATTGGTACCATTAGAGTAGGGTACTGCTGTAATGGTACCTGAAAATGTGGAAGTGACTTTAAGACTGGGAAACGGGGGGAGGTTGGAACAGTTTGAAGGGCTCAGAAGAAGACAGGAAAATGTGGGAAAGTTTGGAACTTCCTAGTGACTTGTTGAATAGTTTTGACCAAAATGCTGATAGTGATATGGACGATAAAGTCTAGGTTGAGGTGGTCTCAGATGGAGATGAGGAACTTGTTGGAAACTGGAGCAAAGGTAACTCTTGTTACGTTTTAGCAAAGAGACTGGCAGCATTTTGCCCCTGCCCTAGAGATTTGTGGAACTTTGACCTTGAGAGAGATGACTGAGGGTATCTGGCAGAAGAAATTTCTAAGCAACAAAGCATTCATGAGGTGACTTGGATACTGTTGAAACATTTAGTTTTATGTATTCACAAAGATATTATTTGGAATTGGAACTTATGTTTAAAAGGGAAGCAGAGCATAAAAGTTCAGAAAATGTGCAGCCTGAAAAATGTAATAAAAAAGAAAAACCTATTTTCTGAGGAGAAATTCAAGCTGGCTGCAGAAATTTGCCCAAGTAACAAGAAACCAATGTTAATCACCAAGACAGTGGGGAAAATGTCTCCAGGGCCTGTCAGAATTCTTCACGGCAGCCCCTCTCATCACAAGCCTAGGAGGAAAGAATGGTTTCATCCACTGTGCCCAGGCCCTTGCTGCTTTGTGCAGTCTTGGGACTTCGTGCCCTGCATCCCAGCCATGGCTAAAAGGGGCCAACACAGAGCTCAGGCCATTGCTTCAAAAGGTACAAGCTCCAAGTCTTGGCAGTTTACACTGGTGTGGATCTGTGTGTGCACAGAAGTCAAGAATTGAGGTTTGGGAACCTCCACCTAGATTTCAGAGGATGTATGGAAATGCCTGGATGTCCAGACAGAGGTGTACTACAGGGGTGGAGCCCTCATAGAGAACTTCTGCTATGGCAGTGCAGAAGGTAAATGTTATGTTGGAGCCCCCATACGAGTCCCTATTAGGGCACTGCCTAGTGGATCTGTGATAAGTGGGTCACTGTCCTCCAGACCCCAGTAATGGTAGATCCACCAATAGCTTGCACTATGCAGCTGGAAAAGCTGCAGACACTCAAAGCCAGCCTGTGAAAGCAGCCGGGAGGGGGGCTGTACCCTGCAATACCACAAGGCAGAGCTGCCCAATACCATGGGAACCCACCTCTTGCATCAGCATAACCTGGATGTGAGACATGGAATCAAAGGAGATCATTTTGGAGCTTTAAGATCTGACTGCCTTGCTGGATTTTGGACTTCACGAGGCCTGTAGCCCCTTGATTTTTGCCAGTTTCTCTCACTTGGAACATGAGTATTTACCCAATGCCTATACCCACATTGTATCTAGGGAGTAACTAACTTGCTTTTGATTTTAAAGGCTCTTAGGTGGAAGGGACTTGGCTTGTCTCAGGTGAGACTTTGGACTGTGGACTTCTGAGTTTAGATTGAAATAAGTTAAGAGTTTGGGGGACTGTTGGGAAGGCATGATTGGTTTGGAAATAGGAGGACATGAGATTTGTGAGGGACCAGTGGTAAAATAATATTGTTTGGTTGTGTCCCTACTCAAATATCACCTGGAATTGTAAGAATCCCCACGTATCAATGGTGGGCCCAGGTGGAGATAATTGAATTATGGGGGCAGTTCCCCCTATACTGTTCTTATAGTAGTAAATAAGTCTCACAAGATATGATGATTTTATAAATGGGATTTCCCCTTCACAAGCTCTTGCTTGCTCTGCTGCCATGTAAGATGTGTTCTGCTCCCCCTTCACTTTCCACCATGATTGTGAGGCCTCACCAGCCATGTGGAACTGTGAGTTTCTTTAGTTTATAAATTACCCAGTCTCAGTTACGTCTTTATTAACCGCATGAGAACAAACTGATATACAGACACTGCAAACAACTAGAAGGCGTAGGAAGGTAGAAGGAGATGGATCAAAAAACTACCTATTGGGTGTTATGCTCACTACCTGGGTGATAGGATCTATCCCCCAAACCTCAGCATCACACAATATGCCCATATAAAAAAACTACACATGTAACCCCATATCTAAAATAAAAGTTGAAATTTTCAAATAAGTAAAAAAAAATGCTAAGGGAGATCTTATTCTCACACAAAAAAAGATAATCATGAGGTAAGAGTTAATTAGCTTGATTGTGTTAATGATTTCATAGCATATTCACATATAAAACATTACATAGCATACTGTAAATACATATAGCTTTTATTTTTCAATTATAACTTAATAAAGTTGAAAAATACTCATTTTTTAAGATACAATTTCCCTAAAGCATAAACATTTTTTAATGTAGCAGCACTGTATTTGTCTTTATAGCATACATGAATATAATTTAAATTATATTATAATAATAGTGGACTGGTGGAAATGGTAATATGGTATTATAAGGTCCTTACATGACACATGATGCAGTATTTGAAGGTAATTATTAAACATATATATTGTAAATGCTAAGGCAACCATTAAAGTCACTACTTTATTGCTGAAAAAAAGGATAGAAATCATAAGCCACTAGTGGATACAAAAAGGCTTTTTAAAATATCCTCTTTAATACAAACAATCAGAGACAGTGGAATAAAAGAATAAAAAACTGAGCAAAATTATTTTAATCAAATAAATGTTTTCATAAAGTGTAACTTATCTAAATGCAGAAACTGAACGAAAGAGATTGTGAATGAAGAAGTAAAACAACTGAATGCTGTCTACAGGAAACCTAGTTTGATTATAAACAGGTAATATAAATGTAAACATATGGCAATATGTAATAATCAAAAGGAAGCTGGAGTAGATATATTAGTATGAAAAAAGAATTAAGAAGGTGATATCCAGTAATAAAGATGATATTGCTTACTGATAAACAGAAAAATTTCCAAAAAGTAATTCAAAGAGTATATGAAACTACCAAAAGGATTTCCCAATATATAAAGTAAAAAGGGATAGAATTAGAAAAATAAATGGACAAATCCAAAATTACAGTCAAAAACTTCAATACTTTTTCTAAATAATTTATAAAACAAGTAGACAGTAAGGAAATAGAATAGAATAATACTAACTGACTTGACCTAAGTGTTGTTAATGGAATATGATACCATGAACAGAATACATAATATTTTCAAATGAAAGTGAAAAAATTTACCAAGACATATCACATTACAGGCCATCAAACAGACCTACAAATTAAAAATATTAGAAATGATGTGAATTATTTTTTTAAAACAAAATTAAACATAATTAGTAACAAAATCTGCAAATTTTCAAAATATTTATAATGTAAACAACATGCTTTTAACCCACAGTACAAAAAAAATAAGATTTCAGGAGAATTTAGAAAATATTTTGTTGAGAATGGAAATGAATGCACATTCACCTAACTTTATGATATACAGATAAAGTATTGATTTGAGAAAAATTTATAGCACTTATTACTTACATTAGAAAAGAGAAAGGACTTCCAATTATCTGTTTCCAAAATAAGAAACAGCACCAAATAGAAGTATAATTTCATCATTAAAATAAAAACAAAGAATTATAAATGATATCCAATAAAATAAATAATGTCTACATAATACCTGCATGTAACATCATACTTAATGATGAAAGACCAAATCATTTCACCTTAAGAACAGTAACAAGGCAAGTATATTACTTCACATTATTCCAGTTTAATGTTGTTGTTGTTGCTTTAGCCAGTCCAATGGAACAAAAAGGAGCATACATATTAAAATAGAACAGATAAAATTTTTTTTCAGCAAACAACATAATTGTCTGTCATGAAAGCACTATACAAACTACACAAAACTTGTTAGAACTAAAAAGTAAGTTTAGCAATGTCACAACAGTTCATTTTTTTTTTTACAAACTGTGTATTTCTACATTCTTCCAATGATAAATTCACAATTGAAACAAAAAACACAATGTCATAGCAATTAGAAAATACTTCTCTTAATGTTAAATGCAGTATATATACACTAAATACTACAAAACACTGATGAAGAAAATCAGATAATTCCTAAATATGTGAGGAGACAATGTTCATGGATTGGGGGCTCAAAATTATTGAGAAACCAGATGTATCTATAGATTCAATTCAATTCCAATAAAAATTCCAGTAGTATATTTTTATAAATCAAGTTCTTTCTAAAATTAAAATGGAAAGACAAAGGAAATAGGATAGCCAAAACCATTATTAAAAAGGAAAACCAGGATGGAAATTTATACTATTTGATTGTCAGACTTACTATAAAGCTATAAAAGTTAAGACAATATGGAATTGAAAAAATAATAGACATATTTTTCTATGGAAACTATTAATAGTTTGTAAATAGACTCACACATACATAGTCAATTGATTCTCAACAAAGGTGCAAAGGCAATTCGATACAGAATAATCTCTTCAACATATGGCTGAAAAACAATCTACATGCCAGACCAATCTATATGCCAAAAATAAAAAAATAAAAATAAATTGTGATCCATTATTTGGAACCACACAAAAATGCACTCAAAATGAATCCTAGACCTTCATGTAAAACTTAAAAGCATTAAACTTCCAAACAAAAAATAACATAGAAGACAATCTTTCGGACCTGATTGAGACAAAGCATTCTTAGTTACCATACCAAAAGTGCAATTCATTAAAAAAAAAAAAAAAAAGATAGGTTGGGTGTGGTGGCTCAAGCCTGTAATCCCAGCCCTTTGGAAGGCCAAGGTGAGCGGATCATGATGTCAGGAGATTGAGACCATCCTGGCCAACATGATGAAACCCCGTCTCTACTAAAAATACAAAAATCAGCTGGGTATGGTGGCGCACACCTGTAATCTCATCTACTCCAGAGGCTGAGGCAGGAGAGTCACTTGAACCTGGGAGGTGGAGGTTGCAGTGAGCCGAGATCATGCCACTGCACTCCAGGCCGATGACAGAGCGAGACTCCATTTAAAAAAATAAAATATACATAAATTAAATTTTGTCAAAATTAAGAACTTCCGTATACATTTTAATATTGAGTTCTATATAATCATTTAATTATAAGAATTAAAACACTCCTCAGGCAGGGAGAACATATTTGTAAATGGCATAGCTGATATAAGACATATGTATATAATATGAGGTAAATAATAAACAACACCTCTAAAACAAAACAATAACATTGTTGATACAAAATTTAAACATATATATCACCATAATTTTTGTTTTCAAAATTTGTTCAAAATTATTCAATAGGGTAAGGCAAAACCAAAATAAGATATCACTACACACTGTTAAAATACAACAAGTAGAACTCTTAGCATTGCCGGTGGGAGTGCAAAATAATACAGCCATTTTGGAAAACCTGTTTAATAGACTCTTCTGTAGTTAACTATTCTCATACCGTATAGCCCAGAAATCCCATTCTTAGATATAAACTTAATTGAAATGAAAATTTATGAACTCACAGAAACCTATTTGCAGATGTTTACAGTGTCTTTATTCATAGTGGCTCAAAATAACTATTCAATCCAAATGTCCATCAACTGGAGAATAAACAAACTCTAATACCTCTTTATAATAAAACACTACTTAGCAATTAAAAAGAACCAACCCTTCACATACCAGAAACATGGGTGAATCTCAAGTGCACTATGTTATGTGATAGCAGCCACCTTCACTCATTCTGTATCTTCATGGACTAGTAGGCACTGAGTGGAAAAGAAGTTAACTACAAAGAGATGTGAAGGACTAGGTGATTTGTGAAACTGTTCTATATCTTGTGGTGATAGCACAACTATATGCATTTATCAAAACTTATAGAAAAGTACATTTAAAAGATTAAATTTTACCAAAGGTACCAAAAAAACAAAACAAAGTAATAGAATAAATTATAAGTGCCAGGGAGTGAAAATTAGAAGGACTGGCAAATCAAATATGCACACACACACACACACACACACACACACACACATAGGAGTATGATAAAAAAATATTATATTTACAGCCAGTGTCTTCATAGTGAAAAGGCAATATATTTCTCACTCTCATTTAATATCCACAAAGTTTGAGACATATCTTCAATTGTAATTATAATAGAAAAAATTGCTTTTCTTAGGGATTGATGCACCAGATTTCCTCAATCATGAAAACAAGGATTAGATAAAGTAGTCCAGTTGATTTTTGTTTAACTTAGCATGCACAGTATAGTCTCCTCTAGCTATTAGATAAGATATGCCGCCTTATTCATAATGATGGCAGGGGAAACTGTCATTGTTTTCTTTAGCCCTAATCATGTTTATCTGGACATGGTCAATGAGACCCTGTGGAATGGCTGCAGTTTTCAGATGGAGAGGCTTGTTTTGATCGATATAGCAGGCAACAGGACACTTAGAAATGCAGTTTCTACTACATTCTTTCAAATCTTCATATTTTGATATACGCTGTCCCTTCTACCTGAATTTCACTGTGTCTGCCCCTCCCCACCAATCTCTTTGTGCCGACCTCTAACCATTTGATGTCTTTTAGGCTCAATGCCTTTCATTCATTAGTGAACATTTCCTCTCACTTGTATAGAGAACAGTGTTCAATAATATCATTAGATTATTATATAACCTATAAAATTCTAATTTTATTTCATAAGCTTTAAACTCCTAAAGTTTATTTCTTCTTGTCGATCAAATACATAGCACTGTGATTGACACTTAATAGAAACCAAAATCCACTGTACTAAGAAGTCAGTGAAATTCACGTTTGTAAGCCTGTCTACCTCATCAGTTCCGTTCCCCTTCTTTGGCTTCTTGAGTTTTTTTACCCTTGCCAACTTCCAAGGTCTTACTTATTTGAGAGAGACTATATAATTTTTTTTCTGAACTAAAATTAGATTTTGTAAAACAATTAATTAAAAAGCTACGCAAATCAATCAATATTTGATAGTCAGAAATAGCATTGTAAGAAATAGCTCAGAACAACAGGTAGAGAAGAAAAGTAAATGGCAATGGTTGTCCAGAGGTCAAACCGAGGATGATATTTCAGAGCAGAGTTTGGAATGAGAAGAAAGTGGAAAGGCTGTAGAAAACTCATGTGTAGTGGGCTATACCCTGGAAGGAATCTGAGAAGAGAGTTTCAAAACCCCTAGTCTTCACTATAACTGATACAATATTGCCATATGGGGATGTTTAAATATAGATAGTTGAATTTGATAACCAGGAGCTCCCTGGTGACCTTAATCAATAATTTAGATAAACATTATGATAGAATATTGAATGATTGCAGTCTGTTAACGTAAGATCCAGAACCTATCATCATTACACATGTACTATATTTCTACTTTGGTATTTGAGAAAAAATCAAATGAAACACAGGCACCCTGATAGGGAAAGATTGGATTGCATGGATTTCACTCCCTGGCACTTGTAACTACCTAAATGTTTTCTAGTTATGCCATTTGGGGAACTACTATATATCTAAATGCCAGAAAAGACAGACTTGCTTGTATGTACTGTAATCACTTTTAAAATAAATAGTTTTCTGAATAGTTTTTTTAATGTAAAATACTAGAACTTGATGAACTTAAGAACATTTTATAATGAAGAGTTTTGCATAATCATTTAAAACATACAGTGGTATTACTATCACTTCTTTGGACAGTCTTAGGCAGTTAAATGAACTTAATTCTGTATTAGAGGATATTCAAACCTGGCATGTGACACATGGTATCATCAATATAGATTTATTTTATTCAAATATCAAAATAACACAGGACTGAAACTTTAGTAGTAGTATTGTCTGTACTTTTTAGAAAAGAATAGTTCTCTCTATTTATATACACACACACGCATATAGGTATGCTACATATGTATGGGCATACTTATCTAGCTTAATGTTTTCTAATTTATTAATGTCATCATAAATTAGTCTTTTTATCAGTAGGGTTATTTGTCTTGTTTTCAAGCATTATGAATAGTACTTTATTTTTATTCACTCATCAAATTAAAGCTACATATACACACACCTATTGCTGCTGAATTACATTACAATGACATGAGTCAATGCACTATCAGGGTGTTAGTAGAGCTGAGTTCCTTCTGAAGGCTTTAAAGACAAATCTGTTTCCCTCCCGTTGCCAGCTTCTAGAGGCCATCAACTTTTCTTGGCTCATGGCCCTTTCTTCCATGTTCAAAGCTTAAATCTCTCTCAGACTCTGACCTTCCTCATGTCTCTATCTTTTACTTATAAGGATTTTTGTGATTAAACTGTGCTCACTCAGGTAGCCCAGAACAATGTCTTTACCTCAAAACCCTTATTTTAATAATACCTTCCAAGTCATTTTAGCTTTACAAGGTAACATACAAGGATTGACCTGTAAGGATTAGTACACAGATGTCTTTGGGGGCCATTATTCTGCCTGCAACATCTTACTTATATTCCTTTCAATTCTACTGTACATCTATGTATGTGGAATATGTTTTTATTTCCAAACTAAGATTGCCTCTATTTTACTGCCTCTCTTTATTTTCTTTCCTGTTTCCCCTTCCCCAACATACTATTTTTTAAAGGCCTTAACTTTGTCTATGTCCTGGCCATTTCATTCTCTTTGAAATTGAAACGTTGCCATTTTTCCAATACGAAAAGCAATTATTTAACTTCATGATAATGCATAAAAATAAAGAGTTGGAAAAAACTTATAATACCAGAGGGGCAAAATTTTAAAAATCATATTATTCTAACTCTCTCTAAAATAATATGCCGTTGAAGATAAGAATGTGAATAACAGCAATTGAGTGGACAGTTTTATGATTGCATATGGTAGGTTTTTTGCCTAGGATTGTTAGTTTCTATTCTATTCACAATAGAGTATTGTTAATAGATCTGCATTTTATTTTGTGAGCTAAAATAATGTTAAACGTATTCAATATAAATGTAAAAGATCTTATTTTTAAAACTGTGGTAAATCAATATCACATTTGAAGGAAATTAATGAAACAGGTTTTATATTTATTTTAATATATTCAGTTGTACTGTAACAAAAATATTACTCATTCATATTATCTCATAAAGTATCCAAAGCATTGTCCACATTTTAGACTACGTTTGTACATAGAAATCTCTTACCATTTACTGAAATTATTGTCTTCAATTTTTATTTTCCTTATAATGTGTCATTTAAAATTTTTTCCACTTCATATACTTTTTTGGTATTATTCTTCCTCTTTCATATTATTAATATAACAAATTAGCAAATAGGTATATATATATTTGAATATGTACAAACACACACGTACTATATATACAGTCATAGCAAACATTATATTCCTGAAATGTGACTACGTTTTCATAAATTTTATGTGTTTCTTAATTAGTTTTTGCAAAGTGTTTACATTTTGGTTTATACTTTTATGTATTCTGTTTCAAGGAAATGAAGTTGCATATTTTTCAAGCCCATTGTTTTGTAACTCATTAATGTCTTTATTATTAATTAGTTTCATAGTTTCTGTAGGTTTACTGGTTTGGTTCCTAAGCATCTTGAATTGTACATTATTTTTATTCATTTATAATAAATTAAAAGAGCTGCGTCTTTTATTGGATAAACATTGGCTGAATTCCCTTAGTTTAAGTATAATGCATTCTTATGACCACTTATTTCTGAATAGTTTGTAGTTAAACTTGTAATATTTTCTTAAATTATTAATATTTTCTTCCTCAAGAATGATTATGATAGTTTCAAGGATTGGGAGAATCTTTTTCATGTGTTCTTAATTTCTAGATTTAATAAATTTAATCAGTAAACAACCTACTTTTAGAAATTTGTCAAAATATTAAGTAGAAGTTGAAACTTATATTCTATTTTTTTGCAATACATTATAGGTATAAGAAAAATAAATCACCTGTAAAAATTAATTTAAGTGTATATAATTTAACATATAATCAGTCTGTATATATGTACATAAACATACTATGTTCAATCTTCTTCACTTGTTTAGCTAAAGGTCATCATCACTTTCATATCTAATAGGGATTTGAAATTTATGAATATACAGAACAAAAGTATAAATCTCACTGTTCATTTCTCCAAGAGTACTTCCTTCCACAGTTTCTCCCATAAATATGAATGTTAAGGCCCTTCACCTGGTTTGCCAGACCAGATCACCTAGTAGTCATAATTTGTTCATTTGGGTTTTTTTTCGCATTATTGTCTGCTCTAATTCATTGACAAATCATATTGATTCAACCTCAAATATATATTTTGAATCATGTATTTTTCCCCTCATTTCTCCTTTTTTATCCTTCTTTACAGCTACAATAATATCTCACTAAGATTATCACTATAGCTTTCTAATTGGCCTCCTTTCTATTCATTCTCTACATAGCAGTCAGATAAGTCATTTAAAAATTCCATTTTCACAACCACTTCCACTCATCATCTTCCTTCTCCATGCTTAAACTCCTTCAATGGCTTTTTAATTGCTTTCTGTATAACATCCAAACAAGTCATTGTGTATTTCTTAGTCTGTTTTGTTTTGCTATAACAACATGCCCAAGACTGAGTAATTTATAAGGAAACAAATGTTTATTTGGCTCACAATTCTGATGTCTGAAGGTTCATGATTCTGATGTCTGGAAGGCTCATCTGCCTCTGGTGAGGGCCTTTGGCTGCTTCCCTTCAGAGTGGAAGGTAAAGGGAAGTCAATATCTGCAGAAATCATATGGTAAGAGAAAATACAAGAGAGAGAGAGATGGGGAGGTCTCAAACTCCATTTAACAACCAGCTCTCTCAAGAACTAATAGAGTAAGAAATCAACCTTCAGGAAGAACATTAATGTATTCATGAGGGATCTCTCTCCGTGATCTAAACCACTCCTACCAGGTCCTACTTTCAATATTGTGGATCAAATTTCAACATGAGGTTTGTAGGGGATGTTAGTGTGACCCCCAAATATCTGAGACAGATCTCAGTCAATTTAGGAAGTTAATTTTGCCAAAGTTAAGGATGTACACCCATGACACAGCCTCAGGAGGTCCTGATGATATGTGCCCAAGGTGGTTGGGGCACAGATTGGTTTTATAATTTTAGGGAGACATGAGACATCAATCAGTATATGTAAGGTGTACATTGGTTCTGTCCAGAAAGGCGGGACAAATCAAAGCAGGGAGGGGGGCTTCCAGGACACAGGTAGGTAAGAGACAAATGTTGCATTCTTTTGAGTTTCTGATGAGCCTTTCAGAAGAAGATAATCAGACATACATCTATCTCAGCGAGCAGAGGGATGACTTTGAATAGAATGGGAAGTAGGTTTGTCCTAAGCAATTCCCAGCTTGACTCATCCCTTTAACGTAGTGATTTTTGGGGCCCCAGATTTTATTTTCCTTCTACATTAGCATGGTCTATATAATCTTGCTACTACCTACTTCTCAAAGCCAGTACTCTCCGCTGTCTCCCTTGCTATGCTGCACCCCTCTCATCTATCTTTTTGATCTGCACAAATTCCAGCTTATTTATACCATTGAGCTTTTGAATATTTTCTTCTTCGTGTCTAGAATTGTTTTCCTTTAAATTTTAGATAGTAAGCTGTAGCTCATTATTATGGTTTATCACATTGCCCATCTTCCCATTCTTAGAGAGGACTTCCCTGACAATTATTTTTATTTATTTATTTTTAATTTTTTATGGTGATTGTGACATTTCAGTGCACCCATCATTCAAGCAGTATACACTGAACCCAATTTGTAGTCTTTTATCCTTCACTCCCTCCCATCCTTTCCCCCAAGTCCCTGAAGTCCATTGTACCATTTTTATATGTTTACATCTTCATAGCTTAGCTTCCGCTTGTGAGTGA